>NC_000013.11:76286893-76438409 GCF_000001405.40 Homo sapiens
TCTGAAACATACATATATTATTATAGTAAATACTGTCAGTCAGTGCCCCACCTCTATTCCCATGTGCCATATCAATTCAGAGGACTTCATCTGGCCATCACATTCTGTTCTGTCCTCAAGTGGAGCAGGCCAGAAATACCAAGAAGCTAACATCCTTCTGGCAGTAGGCCTCAGCCAGTGAGTTACTGGTGAAAGTTGGTGCGAAAATACCCCAGTTCTCTCTCCTGTTGCATGGTATAACTCTGAAATGCATCTTTTACACCTGCTCCCAGGGATCCTCAATGTGATTAAGCTGGCTTAGTAATGCATAATTTTAATAAAAGATGATCCTTTGTTGCTGTATATATGTCAAGCATTATCTAATTTTAGACAATGTACCTATAATCATCTTCATGATTGGAAAGGAGCTCAAAGGAGTCCAACTGATTATTTTAATCATGTAGCTCTACAGGATCTATCGCATACATTACCTCCTCTGCAGGTGCTTATCAGAGAGAAAATAATAAAATTCTTGAGGGAGAGGAACAATATTTTTTTAAATTCCTGAAGATCATGCATTTACTAAATATGGAACAAATGTTTCCATGTCTTCTGTGTGTCAGATGCATTGCTATGAACTGGGGATATAATGATGTGTTTGTTCTCATGAAGCTTACCACCTAAAATGAGATTAAGGGATAAGTAATAAAACATGTTTTAAGACAAAAAAATGCCATGTAAACTGTATTTATTGCCTGTGCACTCCTCTTTGCAATAAAACTTGCCTCTGTATTAAGCTGAACTCTCAGAGAGACCAGAACAGAGGTGGGTTTTATTGCAAAGAGCAATGCACAGGCAGTAAGTATAGTTATAATACAGAACTGTGTTTTGTTGTAATGTCATCAGCATACATAAAAGTAGATTATACAGAAACAATACAATTACACATAGTACTGTGTTTTTTGGAGGATATGAGGAGTACTAGTTAAATCCGTCTTATAGGATCTCTCATAAGGACACAGAGTAATTTTTCTACTCTCTAATTAAAAGGGATACTTATGCTTGTCCCAATCAACTGGTTTGCTTTTAACTAACTTATGGCTACTATGATCCTTCTATGTTTTCCTATTTTATATTGTAGGCTTTCACTCCCTCCAATATTTGTGGCTCTCACTCTGAAATTCATTGTATTTGTTCTTATTTTTCTCTTATTATGTTTCTCTTAGTTTTTAATATGAATTTGTCTTTATGTAGTGTCCAAATCTTTTTAGGCTACTTCAAATCATTCCAGATTAAGATTTTATATAAGTAACTAATCAAAAATGTGAAATGATTAAAACATCTCAAAGCAAAATATTCCCAATTTTAATAATTTACACAGATATTATTTCATTAGTTAGATAATGTTTCACCTGATCTTTATATCAGAAGTTATTAGAAAACCCATATCTTAGGTCATTGTTGTTAAATTTGAATAATTTTGAATGTGTTTCAAGTTTTAAAAGTTTTATATGCTGTGGATATAAGGGAATCACACAAAAATCAGTTTTTTTCTGTACTTCATATATTAACCTCCTACTCATACAATTTTCAGAGGATTTTAGCACTCATGGAAAGGTTTTTGATCATGCTCAAAGTTTAATATTGCTGCAGCAATAACATCTGTATTTACTTTGAGGAAAAGAACAATCATCCAGCAATTGAAAGACTATACTATGCGGAGGATAACCAAGAACCTTCTTAGAGTTGCAGAGTGTTATGTGTTACTAAAAGAGAGGGATGTTTATCGCAACTAAGTGAAGTCTTCAGATTCAGCAGCCTTGTGAATTTGTGGTGTATAAAATTACAAAGCTCCTTTTGTGGAAAGATGGTCACTCTCAAATTTATGTCCTTTGTTTACAGATTATGTATGACTTTAACAACTCTTTGAGTTATTTAGCCTTTGAAATATTGAGATAGTCTAATTCTATGTGGTTCAAATTAGTTAGATGCGTTAGCTGGGTTGGTTTTTTTGTTTGTTTTTTCGGTGGGGGACTCGTTTTTTATTTAACTAAATTCCCCAAAGTGCACAAATGACAAAACTGATTGACCCATTTATTTCTCTAGAAGAGAATAACAGAGAATTATTCTTTTAAAATATAAAAGGCTGCAGAAAATATCAAATATTTCAGGCACTTTATTTTCCCTAAGTATTTTAGTTTAATTTGATGCTTCACGGTTACATGACTTTCATATAAATGTACCTCAGAATTGTTTAAACCAATTTTCTGCATTATTTCTGCTCTTGTCCTATCAAGGAACTTCTCACTTTAAACAAGACCCCTACTGAGAATTGAGAAGTCATTTAAAATGCCACCATGGTTCTGCATTATATGACTCTGCACCCCCTTCTCTCAGGATGTAAAAAGAAATAATATTGTACCTGAACATAACAACTATAATAGAAATGTTCTGCTTTTTTAAACAACCCCTCTTATGCCATAGGAATTCAAGTTGGTTGATACAAAAATATAAATAATAATGGATGTTAAATTAATAAATAAAGCCAGCTTGGATGAAGGCGATGGGGTGGTAGAGGACATAACTTGTTGACTGTGAAAGTGTTTGATCCAAGTTGGAAAAATGAAGATTCCTTAAGAACTAAGTTTCTTTGTGAGCCCTGTGGTCACAGGCAAGCCTGCCCTTTTATTCTGTGTTCTGAAATGATGTGGAATTTTTTCTCCAAGGCTGTCATTCCAGTACTTTCCACAGGCAAGTAACTGAATATCCAAAAGCCTGGTACTGAAGAGCCAAGCTCAACATCCTCTCTTGGCTCCATTCTATGGCTTTTTCTGCTGAATAAGGCCTGCTGAGAATGACTAGATTGTAGTTTATTATGTTGTCCTGATTATGAATCAGTGCAATTTACAAATGTTTTGCATTTGAAACCCAGAGTTGTTTTAGGCTCATTTGCTGACATATGTGAATTTGCTAGAAAGGGCCAGGATCAAATGACATCCACCATCTGTGAAGGGTATTATGTCTAGAGCTAAGAACTGGAAACATAAAAGGGGTTTGCAAAGTGAATTGAACCTACTTAAGTCCCAAACAAAAGCAAATACATATTCTTGCAAAATATGTTCAAAATCATTCAATTTTGAATTACATATACTCTTGGATATAGAAGATTATTATAATGCATACACTAATGTAAACTTTTAAATCATAAAGAATATTGAGAACAAATTTAGGCTTTCAGGATATGTTTCTGTTAGAGAAATTATTAGAAATTATGAAATAAAAAATCCCAACATAACTTTTGTTCTCAAAGTAACCCCCCCCCATATATAGAGAGAGCATGTTAAGTCCAAGTCTCATATTTCTATCAAAACCTATCTTCAAACATATTTCCTGTCATACTCCTTCTTGTAAATATAAGTTATAGTTCATTACTTTCCCAAGATTAAATATTTTAGAATTAAAGAACTTGTCTCCTTTATTTTAAGAGGAGTTGGAAAGGGTGATGGAGGATGGGAGCAGAGGACAGGATGATTTGAAATCGCTTCTCATAGTGAACATATACCAGGCACTACTACAGAACTTGGGTCTGAAACAACGAACAATCAATAAGACAGTCCTTAACGACATTCATATTCCAATGGGAAAAACAGAAAATAAATAAACAAATATATAATCTCAGGTGGTGGCAAGTAACACCAAAAACAAACCAGGGTAGAGAAATAGAAAATGATTTAGATTGAATGCCAGATGAGCAAGAAAGGACTTTCTACGGAAGTTATATTTGACCAGGACTTGAATTAGGCAGTAGTTGAAACAAATAAACTGGGAAGAACAGAACGCCCAGTGTAAAGGCCTAGGCCTGGAGTGTGCTAAGTGTATTTGAAGAGTAACAAAGATGCCAGAGTGGTCATTATTGAGAATGCAAGGGAGAGACTAGCAAGAAAGCATATTACATGTGTAGCACTGGGCCTTTGGACAGAAGTAAGAACTCTGCAGGGTTATTTTTTGGTGTATAAGGCAAAAAATATGTGAAATAAAATTTACAAATTTTAAGTGTAAAGTTCAGTGATTTTCAGTATATTCACATTGCTGTGGAACAGACCTCCAGAATTTTTTTATTTTGCAAAACTGAAACTCTATACTCACTTAACAACAACTCCCATTTACCCCTCTCTCTAGGTCCTGGTAACCATCATTCTGCTTTCTGTCTTGATGAACTTGACTGGTGTATATACACAGAAGTGGAATCATATAGTATGCATCTATTTATGACTGGCTTAATGCACGTACAACACGTCCATGTTGTAGCACGTGCCATGATTTCCTTCTTCTTTTAGGATGAATGATATTCTAGTGTGTGTGTGTGTATCACATTTTGTTTAATTTTTCACTGAAATGAAATCTTACAATTTGTTGACTCCTGTTTTGTATCACACTTTAAATCCATTTATATTTTTGCAGGCATTTTATAACTTCTTTTTGTAAATATTACTCTCTAGAAATTTTTCTTTTTTGTATTAAACTTCACTGTTCTTTTTTCTCCCTTCTAAAACAACCGCTATTTGTTCTAATCTTGCTTCTATCACTGTTGCTGCATGGCTTCCTCATTATATTCAGTCTTCTTACTGGCATTCATCACAGCTAAAGTAAATTAGTATTTGTAAAGGTATTTCTTTTATACCTTTCTTATCCAACTAACAGCCAGCACAAAATAGGCCTTAGAAGAGGCATCTCTCACAAACACACACACACGACTACTGGGAATCTATGTTCTTTTGCAGTTTTATCTAATTTATAGCCGTCTATCTGAGTTATAGTACAAATTCTTTTCTCCTCATAAAGGCTCAGTTATCTAAAGAGAGAAAAAACGCTTTTTAGGGCAAAAGCAGTATCACTAGGAATACCAATTAAAATGCAAATTAGCAACACAGAATAGAATATACATCATTTTATAAATAAAGTAATATAAAAGGCAAACCTATAAGCAGCAAAGAACTGTGCTGATGTATTAAATACTATCATCACTGATAGTGCCATAATGAAGATACACACATTTATGCCAGATAAAATTTAAAAAAATTTAGAACAGAGGATTAAAAAGTTCACATGAATAAAATGATATTAAAGCATGTATTCAATTTTTGATGGGTAGGGTTGGGAGGAAGGGCATTCTAGGTAGAGGAACAGCCTAAGCAAAGGCAGGAGATGGAAGGCAGACATACAGACCCAAATTCTAATGAAATATATTAAAGCATACATCAATTAAGTGTTCTGTAGGGAAACGGTGGGGAAAATAGTGTTCATGCTGTCTGATATGTCAAGCTAGGGTGTTCGTATCTGATTCAGTAGACAGGCAGTGGGAAGATGTGGAAAGGTTTTGAGAAGATGAATAATACAATCTGAACTTTCCTCTGTGAAGAATGATCTTGTAACAGTGGCAGATTTCAGGGACACAATGCCTACAGACTATGAAATCAGGCGAATGGTTATTTCAATTATCCTTAGTGCAGATAACAAAATGTAAAATGTGGCAAGTAGCAATGAGGATGAACAGTGAAGAAGGGATGGAAAGGAAATATATTTTAGAGGTATACTTAACCGCACTGGGTGGTTGGGTGACTATGAGGAATTGAGGAAAGGAATGGTGCTAGAAGATTCTAGGGGCTGCAGAGCATAGCAGACACACACCATTAGGAGTTGGGAGGAATGGAGCCAGTTGGGAAGAAAGTATCATGAATTTGATTTTCAACTTGTAATGATAACTTGTGGGTCTACATAAGTCATAGAGGACAAGCGAAACCTATGGGAAATCATTATGGTGGATTGATAGGTACGTGGCTTTAACTAATGTTTGGATAAGGGTGGGGTTTGGAGATATACAGTAGTGGCTACAGAAGGTACAAAATAATAATAAAAATGTATTAAGCATTTACTAGTTATGAGGAAGTAGGCAAACTATTCTATGCAATTTTTTTTTTTAAGAAAAAACATCTTTCACAACAGTTCCATGACGTAGTCACTATTGGCTCAATTTTCTTGAAAAAGAAGCAGACATATTAAATAACTTACCAAACATACACAGCTGGTAGGTGCCAGAACTTGTTAGGAGCCTGTTCATCTGACTGCGGAGGTCACTTAGATTAGTGGCCAATATCCCGCTTTTCCTTTAGCACTATTTCTTTCTATCCTGGTCTGTTTTGGTAATAATGCAGTTTTTGAAATTATATTCTTTTTGATGCTGAGAAACAACTTGCGGTATGCAAAGCTCTAAATACCCAGAACTAATAAAATTACATTGATCTGTAGCACATCAAATTCACAATCCAAAGCAATTCCAGATACTTTTTCCAATTTAGCAGTAATTAGGTCTAGGGAGGCTCAAGAGTCCTGTGTTCTCAGTATTTCTAGAAGATGATGCTTGCACTCCTATGCTTCAAATTATATTTTGAAGATTGTTTTTATTACCATCCCAGGAAAGAGGCAATATAACCTTGTTTCCCCTGTATTATTCTAACCAGAATAAACCTGGATTTACTTAAAGAAAACCAAACCAACAACTACCCAAATACTTACTTCATACCAGAATTTTTTTTTGTTTCTAGGCATAAAAATGATGGTTGCTAAGAGATCCAAAGAGGTGAAAAGCAAAACGAGACAAGGGAGATTGAAATAATATTTGTCTGGTGACTCAGAACAAGATTGAAATAATATTTGTCTGGTGATTCAGAACAATACATGGTTGCTTTTGCTTTCTTCTTTCCTCTTTTTTAAAATGAACTAGTGATATTTTCTAAACTTCTGAGTGAATATAAATACCACCCTTGTGCTACTGACCTACTAATGTCCTCTGGATATTTCTAACTGAAAAAAGACAGTCAAAACATTAAATTTTAAATACTTCCAATATTAGAAGAAATTATCTTTCTTTCTTTCTTTTTTTTTTTTTTTTTGAGATGGAAAACTGTCACTTGGAAAGAGTGCTTTGGTGTTACCACTGGAAACCTCCCCATAGGGATGACTGATGAAGGCAAATGATGAAACTGTTAAAAATATAATTCTATTTGGGGATTGGCACATGTTGGGTGTGACAATTACTGAGTTGACTTCCAAGCATGTACAGCATCTAGTAACTATGACTTAGTAAGATAATAAACTTTTATTAGTACTTACAGTTTGGGGAAAATTGTAATCAACTCCTTTTGAATGCACACTATTGTTAAGGTCTCACATGCAAGCTGGATGGGGACCTACAAGGGCCTTGACTCTTACTCAATCTGATGGCATCATTTAGCTTGAATTCTTTTTTTTTTTCTTTGCTATTTACAAACAAGTGATTAGGTCAAATAATTACTTTTATCAGATTCAAAGCATGAGGAAATCAAACCATTTGTCTAAGATATCATTGGGTCAAGCTTTTCTTCAAATCAAGAAAGGAGTTATTTTCTTGTCAGAGGGAGACATGAGAAATATTTTTATGCTCTTTAAAACTAAAAGCAGTAATTAGGGTTTGAAGTTGAAATATTCCCCACCCAGCTTCTGGTACCATATTCATCTTATAATATGGTCATCAGGTAGCTGACCACAGTGGCAGACAATTCTACAGTTTTGTTTTTGAACGGAATTTCACATATGCAAATTTAGGAAGAGAACATTGTCCATTGGTGACCAGATAAATGAATTATGCTGTGTTGATTGAAAGCAGAACAGATCGATTACTTACATGATTGTTTTAAAGATATCTTACACATTGGCAGAATTTAAGATTAGATAAGAATTAAGTTTCAAGCTCCCTCTCCCTCCCCCTCCCCCTCCCCCTCTCCTTCTCCCTCTCCGTCTCCCCCTCTGCACGGTCTCCCTCTGATGCCAAGCCAAGGCTGGACTGTACTGCCGCCATCTCAACCCACTGCAACCTCCCTGCCTGATTCTCCTGCCTCAGCCTGCCCAGTGCCTGGGATTGCAGGCGCGCGCTGCCACGCCTGACTGGTTTTCGTATTTTTTGGTGGAGACGGGGTTTCGCCGTGTTGGCCAGGCTGGTCTCCAGCTCCTGACCGCGAGTGATCTGCCAGCCTCGGCCTCCCGAGGTGCCGGGATTGCAGACGGAGTCTGGCTCACTCAGTGCTCAATGTTGCCCAGGCTGGAGTGCAGTGGCGTGATCTCGGCTTGGTACAACCTCCACCTCCCAGCCGCCTGCCTTGGCCTCCCAAAGTGCTGAGATTGCAGCCTCTGCCTGGCCGCCACCCCGTCTAGGAAGTGAGGAGCATCTCTGCCCCGCCGCCCTGTCTGAGATGTGAAGAGCGCCTCCGCCCGACCGCGACCCAATCTGGGAACTCAGGAGTGTCTCTGGCCCACCGCCACCCCGTCTGGGAGGTGGGGGCGCCTCTGCCCGGCCGCCCCGTCTGGGAAGTGAGGAGCCCCTCTGCCCTGCGGCGACCCCGTCTGGGAGGTGTGCCCAGCGGCTCATTGACAACGGGCCATGATGACGATGGCGGTTTTGTCAAATAGAAGAGGGGGAAATGGGAAAGGAAGGAGAGATCAGACTGTTACTGTGTGTGTGGAGAGAAGTGGACATAGGAGACTCCATTTTGTTCTGTATAAGAGAAATTCTTCTGCCTTGGGATGCTGTTAATCTATAACCTTACCCCCAACCCCGTGCTCTCTGAAACATGTGCTGTGTCCACTAAGGGTTAAATGGATTAAGGGCGGTGCAAGATGTGCTTTGTTAAACAGACGCTTGAAGGCAGCATACTTGTTAAGAGTCATCACCACTCCCTAATCTCAAGTACCCAGGGACACAAACACTGCAAAAGGTGGCAGGGCCCTCTGCCTAGGAAAACCAGAGACCTTTGTTCACATGTTTATCTGCTGACCTTCCCTCCACTATTGTCCTATGACCCTGCCAAATCCCCCTCTCTGAGAAACACCCAAGAATGATCAATAAATACTAAAAAAAATTTAAAAAAAAGAAAAAAAAGAATTAAGTTTCAAAAGCACCAAGAACTGCAAAAGAGATAAAATATTGTCATAAATAAGCACTATGACATAAAGCTCTCCAAAGCATAGCAAAGAATAATGGCCTGTGTTGGTCCTTCAGGGGACATGCAGAATGGAAGAGATAAACGCTTGCTGACCATCAGGAAATGGACATAATGGTGAGTGCTTTCAGTGGGAATAGCTTGGAAAATAATAGAGTTCCTTCCCCTTCAAATCCCAGTTTGCTCAGACATCTATGTATGCATACGTAGAATTTTCCCATAATTCCCGATATTTAGAGAGCCCTGAGTACAATATAAGTTCTCTGAGAGCCAGGACTGTCTTCGTCAATGAGTTTCTAGTTTCTAATACATGTTCTAGCACACAGGCACATAACACATATTGGTGAATGAATAAATGATTTTAGAAAGATCTTAAGTCTTCCTCTTCTCTACATACATCTTATTAGCAGATCTAATTAAAATTTGAACCATCTTGGGTTTCTGTCTTCATTGGAAGAGCCCATCTGGGCTCATCAATCTCATCCTCTTCACCAAGCAACTTCGAGTCACATAGCATATGTTTAGTAATTTATCACCTTTACAAAAAAATAAAACTGTGCAAGGGAGTCATTGCAGTGTAGAAAAATCTCATTAACACAGCAAATTCAATCCTCCTACCCATCTTTTCAGCACTGCAAAAGAACAAATGCATGCCCAAATTCAAGAAATGATAGTATTTATGTAATGCAACTGTAACATTGCACTATTTATTATGGTATGGCTTTGGAATAGCTCAGTTTATATGTCCATTCAAATTGTTCAATATATTATGGGATAATTCAGAATAAGACTAAATTGTTCAGTGCTGAGTTTCCAAGTGTTAAAAAAAAGAAATTTTGAGTGCCAAAAGTAAGAGATTTTTTAAAAAGTATTCACAGCAACAATAATTCTGCCACATCAAATGCTTGAACATATACTGTTTTCATCAAGCCTTGAGCTCTATACATACTTGGAAAATCTATTTATGAGCAAGAACCTGAAATGTTGAATGACAACATTTTCAATAGTTTACTTAAGAACTTCTGATAATGCAGTTATTTTTTATATCTCCATATGTTACTCAAGTGTGCATTCCGAATACCTTTAACAGAATGCAGTTTAGTCTGCCAGGAGGCATTTATACTGGTGATAGCATGGATGCGGGAGCAAAGCAGAGGGTGGCCAAGGCCCAGCAATCAAGTACTGTCCGTTTACCTTAATTGTCATACGTCCAATTCACAGCTGTTGCCCTTGATGTGTGTCTGAGAGAGGTTCTGTCTAATAGTGTTTTCAATGTGAATGAATGATACTACAATATTCACTAAATATGTATTTGATACGATCATTTATGGACTTATTAATTGAAACAAGCACATTTCTAGATGCTGGGGCGACAGCAATGAATCATATAGGTAAATTTCCTACTCTTACAGAGATTACTTTGGAGAGATACAGATAAAAAAATTTAATATGTCAACTGAGTAATAGATGTGATCAAAAATAGAATAAGAATCCTACAGAGTGATATTGGTGTAATAAGAAAAGGCCCCTCTGAGAAGGTGGCATTTGTCAGAGACCTGAAGGGTATGTGAGAGTAATTCATGCAGAGGAACCCGTGAGTGCAAAGGTGCAGCTGGGAGGCTGAGTGGCACGTGAACTTGACATAAAAGGAGCCAGTGTGGCAGCAGAGGTGGGAGTGAGAGGGAGAATGGCAGAGATGAGCAAAAAGAAAAAAAAAAATTCCAGCGAGCTATATCACGTAAAGCCTCTTAGGCCATGACGAAATTTTTGGGTCGCATTCTGAGTGAGATGGGAGCCTTTGGAAGGTTTGAGTGGAGGGGTAAGGTGATCGATTTCACTTGCATTTTAAATGACCCACTCTGGATGCTACAGAGGGGTTGGACAGCAGGTGGAAAAGGGGATAGATTAGATTACAGGATTGCTGTAGAGATAATGAGATAGTTAAAATTCTGAATATATTTCAAAGACAGAGCTGAGAGGCTATATTGATGGTTTGCTTGTGGGAAGAAAGAAAAAAAGTACAGAGGTAAGAATGACACCAAAACTTTTGGCCAGAACAACTGAGAATGTAGAAAGCAATGCCATTAATTAAAGTGGAAACTCATAGAGGGAAAAAGATTTGGGGATAAAAGTAAAAATTTAGTTTTGGACATGTCACATTGAACTACTTACTTATTATAAATTTGAATGGAGATGATAAGCAGAAATTACATAACCAATTTCAGAGTTCACCAAAGTGGTCACGACTGGAAATAAAAACTTTGGGGTCATCAGGATGTAGATGGTGTTTAAAGCCAAGGTACCAAACTAGGTCACCCAGGGAGGGAGAAAGAAATGCAGAAAGGAGCCCTGGAGCATTACCACATTTAGAGAATGTAAACTTTAAAGTTTAAATGTCTTTACTCTCATTCTCTAAATGTGGTAATACTCCAGAGAAAAAACAAACAACCCCATCAACAAGTGGGCAAAGGATACGAACAGACACTTCTCAAAAGAAGACATTTATGCAGCCAAAAGACACATGAAAAAATGCTCATCATCACTGGCCATCAGAGAAATGCAAATGAAAACCACAATGAGATACCATCTCACACCAGTTAGAATGGCGATCATTAAAAAGTCAGGAAACAGCAGGTGCTGGAGAGGATGTAGAGAAATAGGAACACTTTTACACTGTTGGTGGGACTGTAAACTAGTTCAACCATTGTGGAAGACAGTGTGGTGATTCCTCAGGGATCTAGAACTAGAAATGCCATTTGATGCAGCCATCCCATTACTGGATATATACCCAAAGGATTATAAATCGTGCCGCTATAAAGACGCATGCACACGTATGTTTACTGCGGCACTATTCACAATAGCAAAGACTTGGAACCAAGCCAAATGTCCATCAATGATTGATAGACTGGATTAAGAAAATGTGGCACATATACACCATGGAATACTATGCAGCCATAAAAAAGGATGAGTTCATGTCCTTTGTAGGGACATGGATGAAGCTGGAAACCATCATTCTCAGCAAACTATCCCAAGGACAAAAAACCAAACACCGCATGTTCTCACTCATAGGTGGGAATCGAACAATGAGAACACTTGGACACAGGAAGGGGAACATCACACACCAGGGCCTGTTGTGGGGTGGGGGAAGCGGGTAGGGAAAGCATTAGGAGATATATACCTAATGTAAATGACAAGTTGGTGGGTGCAGCACACCAACATGGCACGCATATACATACGTAAGAAACCTGCACATTGTGCACATGTACCCTAGAACTTAAAGTATAATAAATATATATATATATATATATATAAAGAAGTTTCAAAGGAAGGAAAATTGTATTTTCCTTTCTCCTGTTAACAGATACTGACTACTGGTCGACCAGTGTTTTTTCAAAAGGAGGTCCTTGGACCATCTGCCTGAGAAACATCTGAAGTGCCCATTTGTTATGTGGATTTCTGGCTCCACCACTCACTGACTAAATCAGAAACTCTGGGAAGGGCCCCAGGGCTTGTGTTTTCCCAAGTATACCAGGTGAAACTTGAGCCTCCTGAAGTTTGGAAATTAGTGGTTCCAAAATATTTCATAGCATGTCTAGAAAATGATACAACTTGTACAGCATATTGAGTAAATGGATAAAATGCTGATGTGGGCAGAAGGGATGGGCCTGGAGCCCTGGCTGCCCAGGCTCTCCTTAAGGTGTGAGGGGATCAAGATGTTGGTTGTACCTATAATCAATCTGGAGTCAAATGAGGGTGCTGTGGACACAGTTTAGTCTGTTACACACAAAATCAACTTTTTATAAAACTATTATATTTATATATGTCTTCCAGTGCTTATGGGAGTTACTGAAGTCATGGAATCAGGGATTAACCAATATCTTATTTAAAATATCTGTTTCAGTCACAAAGGCAAATATAAGATAACCTAAAATCCAAAGGAAATTTCATTGTCTAGAAATTCGTAGTACTAAATTTTAGGAAAAAAAAATTTGAAGGGTCTTTCTTTAGTTTCTATATCACTAATGAATTCTCTTTCTTGTTTTTCCTCGCACAGGCATTTAAGGACTAAACATCTTGTTTAACAGTGAATTTTATGTATTTAAGCCTAAGGTAATATTAAGGTAACATTTCCTGAAATCTATTGAGTAAAATGTTAACGGTTCCATAGTTTGAGATACTGTGGGGCCTGCTATACTTCCTTGGTGGTTAACAATTCACACAATGTTATCAAGGAAAAATAATTTAAAAATAAAAGACAAACAAAAACAAAACCCAAAAAACAAAAACAACACACACACACACACAACACAACTTATTATTCACCCCAATATATATTAGATGTATTTAATCAAAACTATTTCTTTGAAAAAGTATTATTAATGTCTTAAAGTTTAATACTGTTTCTAAGGACCCAATATAAGAAATTCTGGCCTAGAAAATTGTTACAACATGACATGTCAACAACTCCAAGATAGTTTAGTACAATCTGTATACTAGATAACTAACTAGAGCAAAGTGATAATGAATGAGGTGATTAGAATTAAGAAACTCTCTGTAGAAGACGAATCTTGCCAGTAAAGAAAAGTGTGATAGTGGGAAGGAAAAGATAGGGCAGCGGGAGAATAGAAATAGGGAAGATGAACTTTTGCCTAAATTCCGAGAAATAAAAAAAAAGAAAATTCCTCACTTTAGGGACGTGTGTGTGTGTGTGTGTGTGTGTGTGTGTGTGTGTGTGTGTATCTGAAAAGTATTGTGAAAGATCATTCATTAAGCTGACACTAATTACTGACATTGGAGATGAGAAACCAGTCAGAGGGCTCTTCCTGGAAGGTTATGTAACAATGAGCTGTTGCTGCATAACAAACCACCCCCCAACTCCGTGGTTTAAAACAACAGCCATAAAATTAGATCACGATTCTGTGGGTACAGCACCTCGGCCAGGTGCAGCTGAGTGATTCTACTGGTTTAGGTAGAGTCATCATGTGTCTGTGGTCAACTTCTGGTCCACTAGACAGCTCTTCTGCGTTTTCACCAACTGTATGCTGGGGCAGAGAAGGCTTATGGGCCACATATCTTCCATCAACCAGGAGACTAGCCTGCTCTTGGTCATGTTGTTCACAGGGTTTCATTAGCAGCAGGAGAGGAAGGTCTCTTGAAGCACAGGCTATGAACTTGCACAACATCATTGCCACCCAATAGGTCAAAGAAAGCTCAAGGCCAGCCCTGATGTAAAGAATGCAGCAGTAGACTCCACCTCTTGAGAGGGTAAGCTAAAATGCAGTGTGTTCTTTTCTGAAATCTACCCCAGCCGGTGATGGGAAGTGCACTGTGAAGATAGCTAGTGGAATGAGAAGGAAGCCAGGAAACCAAGAGTTTGTAGAAGGGGCACAGATAGAAAGAGAAGTAAAGTAATGGAGTAATGGGAGGTCATATAGACTGGCAAGATTTGGTTAAGGTGATACTGTAGCTTTCTCTGAAATCCAACATTTGTAGACTAAGTAATAATGATTAATATTCTTGCCAAGTTTTCTAAAGGTTTCTTTAAATTATATATCATTAAATCTTATCTCCCTAAACTATCTCTAGAATCCTTCTATACCAGGTGTACCCCATGTACCTATGTTCAGACAGAGCTGCTCTCACCCTTGATAGTGGCAACTTCAGAGTCAGGGGTAAAACTGACATTCATATGTCCAATAGATACACATATCTTAGTTACAGACCTGGCATCTTACCAAATCTTTATATATAGCTTTTGTTAATATATGGCACCATGTTCCAGGTGTTTTTAATTTAAAGTTAATAAAATTCTAGAGCTAAAACTGCAGATATTTTCAACAAATCCTGGGAAATGGAGAAAAATGGAGTAGATGGTTATAAATAAGCTTAAGATCTTATGTAATTTTCAGAGAGAGTTTATAGATACAGACTTGTCCTTTTAAAATATTCATTTTAATATGTAATACATATATAACAAGAATGAAGTAATACATATATAACGAGAACTTTTAATTCTCTGAAATTATATGCTGTTCCAAAAATTATATGATGGACAATAACACTCTCACTCCAGTTTCCTTGTTCACTATCTTCTCACGAGATGAATCACAATTACTGATTTCTTATATGTTCTTATAGGACTGTTTTTATATCTTTTTTTGTTTCCATCTTCATCTTCGTTACCTAAGAGATAACATACTACATCTATTGTTCTACACTGTAATTTTCCCTAATTCACAAGTTAAATCAATCTGTAACATCAAGCTGCCTCATTTTTTAAACTGCTGTATTTATCTCCAATTGCATACCAAAAATTAATCAGTCCTTTTTGGAAAGACAGTTATACTCTCCAATATTTTGTATTTACTCTCCAATATTTTGTATTTATAAGCCATGCTAAAATGAATGTTCTTTTAGATGTAGCTTTGTTAAACATGCCAGTATATTTGTGGAAATAATCCCAGGACAAGAATTGCTAATGTAAAGAAGAATGTATGCATTTGTCATTTTGACAAATAGTGTCCAATTACTATCGATCGAGACATTTTGCTATGCATGATTTAAAGATTATTTTGTTATAATTAAATTTACAAAATGCTTTCCTTTATGATTTTGAGCATTGTCTCATATTCAACTCAATATTATAAATTTCTCATTTCTTTCTGAACTTTGTCATTTTTTAATTCATTTTTATATTCTTTATTATGATTTATGGTTATTATTTTAATTATTTAGTCTACCTGGCATTTATCTTGTGTAAAGTATAATGTAGAGACATATTTGTTCAATTTTACTCAGGTGTTCCAATCCATTTATTGACTAATATATATTTTTATTGGTAATTAGAAATAGTATCTTTATTATCTTGATTCACTTTTTATGTTGTTTTCTTTCTTGTTCTTATTTATTGATGTCTCTTTTATCTGTATTAGATATCAAACATTGGTTTTTCACAGGAGTAAATAGTTAAGTAGAGGAAAAAGTTGTAATAGTTTGGCAAGGTCGATGAGGAATGACTTAGGTAGGGAGTTGCCACTGAAAGGAAAAGACAGCATGAAGGAAGGCAGTATCTAAGAAAAGCTAGACAAAGAACATTACACATATATATCTACATATCGCATCATACCATAGATATCTACACACACATACACATACAGTGGAGAGAGAAAATGAAAGAAATCTTGAAACCATACCTTTATGGGAAGGGAAATATACAGAAGGATTTAGGAATATTACAAAATCCAAAAGCTCCCATAGGGATGGAAGATTAGGATGAGATTTATCCTTAGCATTGTGGTCTGCAGTAGTAGGCACAACAAGTAGTACCTCCCTTTCCTACTCCAGTTATGAAGCAAAGTTTCTCCCTCCTTACTGATAGAGGCAAAATTAGAAGTCTTGGGTGTGGGACTGTTAACAAAGAGGGCCTGCTAATCCTGAGCTCCAGAATTCTTTATATTTAACCACTTCATCAAGGCAGTACAAGACTGGAGATGCTTCCCTCAAGAAGAGCTGGTTCTCCCTGGAGTGCAGCAAAACTGCCACTCACTGCAGGCATCTTGCTCCCTAGAGGAACAGGGATAGAGCAGAACCGAGCTGGTCCAGATGTTTCCAAACAGGAACATGGCTTTGGGTAACTCAAGCAGAAGCAGAGTGAATCAAGGGGCAGTGAAAGGCAAGAAGGGTGTCAAAACCTCTCATCTAGGAAATCAGGAGGAAAAGGTACTTCTTACAACATTAGATTTCTAGGCCTAATGAATGATGAGAGAAATGATCCCTGAAATAGAACAAGAAGGCGTCCGTTTCAGGCATGCTAACCAATTAAATGCCTGTTCCTATAGGTAAAGGAATAAAGGATAATCAGGTAGATGCTATTAGAAATTGTAAAATGAGCCAAGGTTTTGTTGCTATAAAAATGATAAAGCATTTACTAGGAATTTTTAGGAATAAATAGGTAAAAACACAAAATCACTCATTTACTGTCACTGGTCACAAAGAGAAAGAGTGGTCATAATCACTGTTGTTATACAATTACATCCCAAAAGAAATCTATAATGATTATATTCATAATAGTTTAGAGATGAAAAGTTTGCCCTCATTGCTTGTGGCCAGGTACTCCACCTCACACATAGATATGCATGTGTTCCTGTACACACATATGCACACATATATGGGTACACACACACACAACCAACTGATTTATTAAAAGTAATGGCAAAAACCACAATTGCTGAGGGAAAACGAGAATGCTCTGCACTCTAGTCAGTTACTAAATAATGTGAGCAGACACACAGGAGCTTTAGCTGGACTTTCCTCGTGCATGTACATTTTTCCTTAGTGTTTGAGATCTGCTTTTTAACTTCAAAACATTTTCTTGTTCATTTAAGGAGAGGCATTACAGAAGTATGATCTTTGAAAAGGTTGAGATTTTACTAACCTAATTCAGTACACCCACAAGGTAATGAGTAACTGTTATCCACAATACTGACAAAGACATGAAAATTCTGAAAGCTTACTAAGCTTCAAATAAGAAATTGATGGCTTGCAATAGTATTTGAATGGCTGATTCCAGAAGTTAAAGGAAAAAAATGATTTTCAGATAATGACATAAGAAGTAAAAACAGAATTCTCATTTAATTACTCTCATTTGTGCCATCTACCATTTAATTTCATTAAATATTTAATAATGCTGAACTGAAGATCAGTTGGCTTCACTACAATCTTGATAAATAAATTACTTCATTTTATTCTAAACTTTGGAATTCATATGTTCATTACTTAAAACTATAAAATTTGTAAAAGCCATATAAAGAAGTTAATTCCTAGCTCTATCACCACATAACATCTCCATTGCCATATCATAAATCAATAGATTTGTACTTGTGTAAATTGTAAGGCAAATTTGTTTTCTGGATGTCTGCTTTAAATATATTTGTTTCCATGGTGTTAGAAATATTAGGTGGAATATGTGAGTTCTTACTTTGTTTCTCATTTCTCTAAATCAATACTTCTAAAAGTACACTCCCCAGATTGGCAGTGTTGGCATTACATGGACGTTTGTTAAAAGCGCAAATTCAAACCATCCCCCAGACCTGCTGAATTAGAAATTCTGGGGATTAAGACCTGGAAATATATGTTATAACAAGTCCCCCAGGAGAGTCTGATGCACGTTAAAGAGTGAGAACCGTAGTCCTATGTGAATCCATACTGTCCATTTCAAAATTCTCTCTCTGAAATTGAGTCACAAAAATTCAGATAATGCATCTTAGAGATTCATAAGGACATGGCAGTGGAAAATTGCAGTGTCACATTGAATATCTATTTAGGTAAATAAATATATTGGCAGAAATTGTGCCTTTTTCTTGATCTGAAGAAGATAGGCTTAGGATTAAAATATATAGATATAATACAGGATGAAAAGATGATGCCTACACAATTTACTACTTTGGAAGAAGACTCTAATTTCTACTTTATAAGAGCACGGTCGTATCTGCTGGCACCTAATAAAATACAACTTGTAAATATTTATCCTTTAATAAAGGTGATTCTTATTCCCCAAAGACGAATTGGTTCTCCAGTACTTTTTGAATATTTGCAGGATTATCTTGTCTGAGGCCCTTAGGGAAGTGGTAGAAGCAAGGATGGGGTGTCATCAAAAAGCAGCTTTAAAAGGTCAAGAAACAACACATGCTGGCGAGATTGTGGAGAAATAATAGGAACCCTTTTACACTGTTGGTGGGAATATAAATTAGTTCAACCATAGTGGGAGATGGTGTGGCAATTCCTCAAAGATCTAGAACCAGAAATACCATTTGACCCAGCAATCCCATTACTGGGTATATACCCAAAGGAATATAAGTAATTCTATTATAAAAATGCATGCATGTGTGTATTCATTGCAGCACTATTCACAATAGCAAAGACATGGAATCAACCCAAATGTCCATCAATGATAGACTGGATAAAGAAAATGTGGTATATATACACCATGGAATACTATGTAGCCATAAAAATGAATGAAATCATGTCCTTTGCAGGGACATGGATGAAGCTGCAAGCCATTATCCTCAGCAAACTAATGCAGGAACAGAAAACCAAACATGGCATGTTCTCATTTATAAGTGGGAGCTGATCAGTGAGAACACATGGACAGAGGGAGAGGAACAACACACACTGGGGCATGTGAGGGGTTGGGTTGGGGGAGGGAGAGCATTAGAAAAAATAGCTAATGCATGCTGGGCCTAATAGCTAGGTGATGGGTTGATAGGTGCAGCAATCCACTATGGCACACGTTTACCTACGTAACAAACCTGCACATTCTGCACATGTACCCTGGAACTTAAAATAAAAATTAAAAAATATATATACAAGTCTATCTATTATATTAGCTTTCTTCAATGAATGAAGCTGTGATTAATTCATCAAAAAAGCAGCTTTAAGCTCAGCCCAAACCATCTGTTCTTCAAATAACCACCAGTTATTTTTCTTGGTATAGAAGGACAACAGCACCAAGCTTGTCATGTCCACAAAGATTCCTCCAACTAATAGTGCTTCTTGGGACTTGTCTTAGCCTCCTTTGTAGAACTAATATAATTCATTAAAGATAAGAATAATACATTGCAAATATTACTCCAAATTACTCTTTAATTTTATTTACATAGAAAACAATATGTTTCTTGTGTCTATTTATACTACAAGCGTAAGCAAGTGTTTTCTCTCCAAATTATTTAGTCATATGTATTTTCTTCCAGTGCTTTTCTTTTTTCACTTAAATTTGTAATACAGCTGACATTTGTTTTGCTACGAGTATAAATTAGGAGTCCATCATTTCTTCTAAAGAACTCCCCATCCCAATGTAATATAAAGTAAGAAAACTTGTTAGCTGTCAAGGGAGGACTTGAGAATACTATTTGAAAATTGTAGAAAAATTTTGCCAACTAATCTTATTTCCTATGATCTGCTTAATAGCATTTTGTCATTGTGTTTTTTCAGGGGATTGACTCGAAATTTACTGGTTAATATGAGGTACAAGAACAAACAGTTTACTAATTCTGAGGTTTTTTTAAGGTAACCTCTTTCTTCTCGGATTTTAAACTTTTTAAAAGTTCCCTAATTGTTAAAAGTCGCA
This sequence comes from Homo sapiens, assembly GCF_000001405.40. Classification (NCBI taxonomy): domain Eukaryota; kingdom Metazoa; phylum Chordata; class Mammalia; order Primates; family Hominidae; genus Homo; species Homo sapiens. Next base: position 76,307,030 of record NC_000013.11, read on the forward strand.
CTGAGTTTTTCCTTCTGATGAGATCCCAGTGGACTATTTGTTCCAAAGACAGCTATATTTCTTCTGAATAAATGCAGCTTAAAACATAAAAAACTTTGTTCCCTGGGTCCCTCTCTATTGCTCTTTGCTGTAAGTTGATACAATTTATAGTCCCTTACTAAGACCAATTGCTTATTTTCTTTAGAACATGTTTCCTTTCGGGTGAAACTGAACCGTGTCTTTCTCTGAGGCAAAGTTCTGAGGCAAAGAACCTCTGAGGGAAGACGTTCTGAGGCAAACACAGCATTTCCATGCCTTCATGGACTTACACATTCCATTTAGCTTTCCAAGTTGTTTGAGCTGATCTTTCCTTATCAGACTTGGGCATTCCTCAGAATGCTCTTCTGTAATCATAGAGTGGTATGTTGGCTGCACTACAGAGACTGTGGCCTGGTGGACTCCAGATAGAATTGCCCGACAGAGACTCAGTTCCAATTCTTACTGTGCCATTCATTAGCTTTCAATTCTTGCTAAAGCCCCTTAATCTTTCAGTATTTCAAGTTTTGCTGCAGCAAGTGATAATAATGCTGATGTGTTCTACCAGGAGGATATTAGGATTAACTAATTAATGGTCACAAAGAGCCTTTTAAATAGAAAGTACCAAATGTCTTTCCTGGTATAAAGTAAAATCATTTTGCCTGTCTTTTTATCTGCCTTTTCTTGTCAAACTGTCTTCTATCATCTGCTTTCAGAGTGCTTAGGCCATTTACTTTTCAATTCAGTTCCTTCCAAAAGACTTTAAACTACAAGCAAAACTACTTTAGTTCCAATTATAAATGGGACCCCACTTTTATAGCTCAATGCCTAGAGGACCTGAGTCATACAGTGCTTCTGATTCACCTTCATCCTAGTGTTTAAAATAAAATCCAAATATATAGCATAAGGAAATTTTAAAGGGTCAGATTCAAATTACCAGAAACTTCAGTTAAATAAAAAACATTTTCCTGACAAATCAGTTTCCATAAGTCAAACAGGTTATACATTTGATTTTAAGAATATGCACACAAATTCAAAGATGTGTCAGAGTCTGCTCAATCTTCTGTAGAGGTGTATCTGTAGACTTGATATTCACATAAAACCAGGGCACTACGAAAAGTGAAAGAAGGTCTGTTTGTGATACAGTTTATAGCTGATCACTAATCACTAAATCAGATCAGCCTTGTATCAAAACCAGGCTAACTGTGATATATGGTCACTATGTCCATACATTTACTGAATGATAATCATTGGCAATCAGCCTGATGATACTGATTGACTCAGGCAAGATTTTAGGCTTCTCTGTTATTGACATAAAGAAAACATAAAAACGTTTTCTGTCTGAGTTAATTAGTTAATTTAGTTAGAATTTTTTGTTTACTAATCATTCTTTGGCCACATGGAGTCTTCATAATTCAGAGAGACATAGGGTAGTAATTAAATACAGCAATCATCTGTTTTCAAGGCATCAATTTGAGGTCTTCTGTTTTGTAATGATCCTTTCTTATGCATGACAATTTCAAAATCCTGCCCTCCAGGTACATGTAGTGGGAGTCTGGGCTGGTAGAGCACCTTTCAGAGTCTCAGAATGTCTGTGACCTTGACATGGACTGCATTATCTTACCAAAGAATCACCCACTGCAGAAGGACTTGTAGTAGTACTAGCTAATAACTAGCACTGCCTCCCCTCTGGGACGCTACAACTAACAAATTACAGCTCTCAGCTCAAGAGCAAAGAAATACCTGTTTCTCCGATTTCAGTGTGAGTAAAAATCACTAGTTTGTCTAAAATAAGTACTCCTGGGGCCCACTCTCAGAGATGCTGATGTAGTTAGCTAGTCAAGGGGCTATCCTGCATTGCTGAAAACATCCTTGGTTATTCTGAAGCACATAGCCGTGGACCTCTCTTCTAGGAATAGAATATTTTTTTCCAAATTGTAAACACAAAAGTTTGGACCATAACCTATCCATGGCTCATAAATATGGTTATACCTGTATTTACACTGAAACACTTTTGGACAATGATGACTGCAAATTGATAGGCTAAGTAAATCTAATATTTTTCTATAAAATAAGAAAGAGCAAGTAGAACCAACTTTACTTATGAAGAATTTTTTATGTTAAATCATTTAAAGCTAGAAGCTTCACTTAAGAACCTTTTCCCCCAAAACTGCACTTCTTAACATGCCTCAGGTTATTCTGAAAAAAGTGGTTGATGGGCCTCAAACACACCGAGAAACACTATTACTAAAAGTTAAAGTCAATTAGTTGACTATCACAAAGCTTTATATTTCATAACAATGATTGTGTAGATTTATAAAAGGAATCCTAAACATTTAGAATATTTTTTAATCCAATAAACTATAAGCAAACATAATTACAACTTATATCTTGGAATGTTTTACAATTTAATGGGGAAAATGGACCAAATGCAAAAAACAAGTATAATTATGCAAATAACATTTTATTTCCCTGATTATTTAAAAAGTGTTTGATATACACTATGGGATATTACTCAGTCTTACACAAACTCCTGTAATTTTTCAACAACATGAATGAACCTAGAGAACCCTGCTAAGTAAAATAAGCCAGAAATAAAATAACAATTACTGCATAATCTCACTTATATATGAAATCTACAAAAGTCAGACTTATAGAAGCAAAGAGTAGAATGAAAAGAGAGGGTCATGAGGAGTTATTGGTCACTGTTACACAATTCAGTTATGCAAGATGAATGAGTTCTGCAGGTTAAATGTACAGCATGGTGACTACTTACCATAGTTAATACCATATTGTACACTTGAAATTTATTAAGTAGATTTTAAATGTTCTCAACACACATTCATAGAAATTGTAGAAATTGTTACTATGTGAGGTGATGAATGTGTTAATTAGGTTGAGTGAGGTAAACATTTCACAATGTATATGTACATGAAAACATCACATTTTACACTTTAAACATATGCATTTTTTTCAATCATACCTCAAAAAAGCTGGAGAATAAAAAGGAAGTATTTGAGAGCCACATGTGTTTCTGCACATATTCAATCTTCCCCATTAGATTGTAAAACATTTCAAGATATATTTCTATTATATTGGCTAATGTTAATAGCCAACAGTTATATGCTGGGTATATGCTAATTGGCGTACATATAAAGTCATTTAGTAAGAGTTTATTTGTTTTTATTAATTAGTTCCACAACTATTGATTTGACTTCTATGAAATGGGACATATTATTCAAGGTGCTTGTAATGATGATGAACAAAGTAGACAGCAATATAGACCTAACTTGAAACCTCAGTATTTTTACAAGACAACTTATTAAGAGTTATAAATTGATAAAATTATATGTGTTAATATTGATTGGAAAGAAGCATGCCATAACTTAATTCCTCATTCATAGATTCCTTTTTTTTCCTTTTCTTTCTTTTTTTTTTTTTTTTTTTTGAGACAGTCTCATTTTGTTACCCAGGCTGGAGTTCAGTGGTGCAATCTTGGCTCACTGCAAACTTCACCTCCCAGGTTCAAGTGATTCTTCTGCCTCAACCTCCCAAGTAGCTGGAATTACAGGTGCCCAACCACCATGCCCAGCTAATTTTTGTATTTTTAGTAGAGATGGGGTTTCACCACGTTGTCCAGCCTGGTCTCAAACTCCTGACCTCATGTGATCCACCCACTTCAGCCTCCCAAAGTGCTGGGATTACAGGTGTGAGCCACCACGCCTATCTGGTTCATTTTTCTAATTGAATCCTTATAAAATATGATAAAAGCAAAAGTAGACGAATAAGTGATAGACATTTTGACAAGGATGAGGAATAAAGATCTTAAGAAAAAAAAAGTTTTAAAGGAGGAGTGAGAACACCGAACTCCCTCTATGTTCAATTATCAGAATCCTCCAAAGGCCCAGTATGAAAACCATTACAAATTATTGCAATAAGCCAACAATAAAAGTATATTTTAGGATACTAAAACAACAATATATGAAGATAGCTGCAAAGATGAATAGATATTATCTCCAACTTTCACAATCCCTGAGCTAAATTTTGCTTAATTAAAATTAAAGAATCATAGTTATAGAAAATCTTCATGATAGAACCTTAATTCAAACCCAAGAGCTGGTTATTTATAGTTATGAACTATCATACTTAGTAACTAAACTAAGCCCCACTTATTTAATATATATTATGAAGATAAAGTAATACTGACTTTATATGATTATTTTGAGTATTAAAAGGTATAATATATTTAAAGTAGCATTGTGTGAGGCACATAGTACTCAAGAAATATGAGCAAATGTTTTACTCTAAGTCAAATCATTCAGTTTATTATTTCTTCATTCCATTTTCTGTAATACGAGTGCAATATTGTCATGTATAATATAGGTGTTGTGATGGTTTCATGGATATTTAGAACTTATAAGATGTCTGTTATCTTTACACTTTAACTACAAAGTTTATAAAACAAAGGCATTTTTTAATAATATAAGCAAAGGACTACAGAACTCGTTTCATAAAAATCACACTTATAATTGTGCCGGTTACCTTGCTCATTTCTTTTATACTGATCTAGGTTTGCCTATTAAGGATTCTCTTCCTCAGATTCTGTACTTTACTGAAATACAATTGAGAGGTCTTCAATTATAGAGGAGAAGAGAGCTGATGAATTGTTAAACAATTCCCCTTGTGGGAATAATGTCTGACTAAATACAAACACAACGTTCAGAGAACAAGCTGGAAACCTTTGGCTGAGTTCCATTATACAGATCTGCTTATGTCCCCGCCCCTCAACCCCTACCTATCCCACCCACTTGGTCCTGTATTTTGTTCTTTATTATCTTGCTCTTTTATTACATATTATTAATATAAGAACTTTCAAAAATTCTTTGGAGAACTCAAGAGAAGTGTTAAGCATTTAGGGTAGATGAGATCAGACTTTTCAAAAGCACAAATTTTGGTGAGTGGGAAACAGATGGTAGAACAAATGTTAAAGTCTTATCTGTCTTCTGAGGCTACTCCCAAATGACCCTCTTGTTACCTGAGCTCACCAAAGCCACCTGTCTCATTTTCTGGGTGGCTCCCGAGGGCCATTTTACCAACCAGGAGCAAGCTGAGTGTCTCCCTCCCCTGCAGTGCAGCCTGTGAGAACTACAGCCGGGGACTCTGAGGCATCTTACCCTTGGCTTTTCCATCATGAAAATGCTTGATTCCTCTCATTGTTTGGCCACGTGCATACTGAAGCAATAGCATTTATTTTTCTATTTCCTACAAAAATCTCTAAATGAAGGACTCATATTTAGTCACCCTCTATTTAGGTAAAAGTACTTGCTAATGTGATGAATGCCTCATCATTTGGTATCTTTAATAGAATTGCCAGAACACAGACTACAATGCCTTCATTTTTATCTTCAGTGATTGATTTGGAGAGGAAAAGTATTGATTCTGTTATCAGACAGGCTGAGGAGTAATGGGAGTAGTTCATGAGTGGCTTCACTTGCTTTTCCCCTTTGTGAGCACATAAAACTCAAAATTCCATATTTTCTGCTTTCTTCCAATAACAAGACAGTCATACTAGAGTAGTAACCAGTTCTTACAGTGGAAAATATAGACTGCAAAAAAGATATTTTTTTGATAGCTGATGTTCTCACTATATTTGAATTCACACAACTGCACCAGGGATAAAATGCACACGTGTGTGTGTGTGTGTGTGTGTGTGTGTATGACTATATATATTATCTGTAAGTAGGGCAGCTCTTGTTTGATTTAGCACAGAGTGATTTTTCTGAAGGATATTTTAAAAAGAAGATTGTATATGTGAAGAAATAGTGTGGCCATTATGCTCAGGTAACCTTTTCAAATATGTATGAATGATATACTTTCCCTTGTTTTGTTCTATTTTAAATCCAAGGTCTACCTTTCAAAGTAGAAGTTGGCATGATGTTTTGAAATAGTAGCCAATATTGGTAAGTGTAAGTTGAAATGGCATTCTCATAAACAAATGATTAAGGTGTATTCTGTACATCATTAGGGAAAGCAATTTGAAAGTAATCTCAAAAGCATTTAAAATATGCATAATTTGTGATCTAGTAACTACATTTCTAAGAACCCATGCTAATCAAATAATCAAGCATGTAAACAATTATTTTTCAGCAATGATGCCTGCTATTAATAATGTTAGAATATAAGAAATTTCTGAAGTATCCAAAGATTAGAAAAGTAGTCAATAAATTAATCATAACATTATGGTACCATTAAAATCATATTTGTTTTAGGAAGAAAATAAAGAAAAATATGCTTTATGGGTGTATGTATTTCCAAAAGATAACAAGAAAAAATGCCTAGGAGATAATGCCACTTAAGAAAAAAGGTTTCAAAACTATAAATCAAATATTATACTTCTGAAATTTATATATATATATATATATATAATATATGAAAATAATAGAACACAGCAAACTCGATGTTCTATTCAGTTACCTCTACATGGTAGCATTATTAGAGGCTTCAATTCCTCACAGATTTGTCTGTATTGTTTACAATTAATGTGTATAATTGCTTGAATCTGGGGAAAATTTCATTTTTAAAATATCAAATTATTTCCCATCTGTTCCACTGTTCACCATACACTAATTCATACTGCTATTATTATTGCTATCTCTCAAATACCTCTTCCCTAAACTACACATACTTAAGCTTCCCAAATGCTTCCATTAAATGTTTTATATTACCCTCAGTAAAGTCAAACTGCTGCAAAATATAAAACATTTACAAAGAGTCACTCAGTGAAAAAGGTGCTTCACTTATATTGCCAGGAATAGTACACAATTATTAGAGAATGTCATTGAAAAAACTAAGAATCTTAAGGCATGTGAACCTTAATAAACAAGATGTTATCAATGTTCGTATTCAAGGAGTCAGGAAAAGTTAGTGAGATCTCACCATTGGTCTGTCAGCTCTCAGCTGGAAAGATTCACAAGAATCTTCTAATGTTATGGTCTCTATTTTGTCTTAACAAGAGCAATTTATTATTCACTTGATGAGATTTGAATAAGATTTTACAAATTATACTTACTCTTTTCTGAACATTGTGTGGAAGTGCATCAAATCAACCTAATTTCAAAACATGTTTTTGTGCAAAGCATTAAGCTTAGTGCTCCAAATACATTTTCATTCCAGGTAATTTTCATTATCATTATATATTATAATTGTGTATAAGTGATCATGACATATTGGCATGGTGTTGTCACTTTCAAAATCTAATAAATATTTCAGTTATTTTTCTCAAAAATTAAGTGTCAGAAATAGCATTCTCTTAAACTGAGTCCTCATGGCATTTTAAGTAAGTAATGAATATGGGCAGAGAGGGAAAAGGGCATCAGAAAAAGTCTCAGAATATGGAAATATCTAAGGCAAAAGAGAAAAATTACTGAAGAGAATTCTGCTGTAGGAAAAACCGGTTCTTGTCACACGACAAGGAACAATTAAGTTTGCAGACACTTCGAAAGGTGAGAAGGACAGGGTTTATTGGGTGAAAAAAGGAAAAAAGGAGAAAATGGGACTCTCAGCAAAGTGAGAGTCCTGCTAGCTGGCTTTTTGCCTCACAGACCGAATCCCCGGTTATCACCCAGGAACAGGAGAGGCCAGGCTCCTCCCCACTGAAAATAGCCTGAGCTTCCATGGCTCCACCCTGGTGCACAGGCCTCCCAGTGCATAAGCCGGTTGGAGGTTCTCTAAGGACCTTCCCCCTTTATAGTTGCCTGTCTCAGTTCCAGATTGCAGAAACACAGTGGAAGGACAGTGGAGGAAAGAAGGGTGAAAAAAACACAAGCAAAAAACAAAAAAAAAAAAACAAAAAAAAAAACTTGGGGTGGGAACTAGCAAGGTGTAGTATACCAGGCTTAGGAGTTTGGACTTCATCCGGAGAGCTGTGGAAAAGCCATCAAAGAGAGCAGCAGAGTCACATGAATCAGAAATGCGTTATTTATTTATTTATTTATTTATTTATTTTGAGACAGAGTCTCGCTTGCTCTGATGCCCAGGCTGGAGTGCAGTGGCACGATCTGGACTCACTGCAACCTCCGCCTTCCAGGTTCAAGCAATTCTCCTGCCTCAGCCTCCCAAGTAGCTGGGATTACAGACATGCACCACCACACCAGCTAATTTTTGTGTTTTTAGTAGAGATGGGGTTGTGCCATGTTGGCCAGGCTGGTCTCGAACTCCTGATCTCAAGTGATCCACCCGCCTAAGCCTTTCAAAGTGCTGGGATTACAGGCGTGAGCCACCGCGCCTGGCCAGAAATGTTTTCTAGAATGATTACTTAGGCTTCCAGGTGGAAATGTATTGATTGATCATTTTAAGTAAACAAATGTTTATTGATCATCTACTCAGTACTATGCACATGATTGATACTGGGGATTTATTGATGAATAGAAAAGGGGTGAGGCTGGGAATGGAGATGAAAAACATTAAACAGACAAATATAAATGTGGTCAGTGTTACCAGAGAGGATGCCTTAAATTAATCTGGAAGACCTAACCCAGACTGGGAAGAGAGAGAAGGCTCTGAAGGAAATGACTTTGAGCTGAGACCTTAGCTAGCTTGGCAGGGTCAGAGCAGAGGGTTGCGAAGACACATCAGGATGCAGGAGAGCACAAGATAGGAGAGAGCTTAGCAGGGTCAAGCAATTTAACAAAGTTAAATACACTATAGGTTAGTGTAGAGACCTTGGAGGAGAGAAGGCATGGTGATGGATAAGGAGGGTGAAGCTTAAACATGCAGAGTGCTGCAACTCAAGAACTGTGATCTTTATTCTAAGAGCAATGGAAAGCCTTTAACTCCAAAAACGGCAGTGACAAAATCTGATTTGCATTTTTGAATGGTCATTCTTAGAAGCACTGTAAAAAACACATTTGTAAGTCAAGGGAGGCTAGTTAGGCAGGTGGTAAAATCACTTCAAACGTAAGTTAGATAGAAGGAATAATTTCTAAAATCTGAAAGCAGGGAAGGGTGACTATAGTTAATTGCAAAGTATTGAATGCTTCAAAATAGTTAGAAGTGAGGACTAGAAATATTCCCAACACACAGAAATAATAAACACTCCAGGTGTTGGATACCCTAAATTCCCTTGCTTAATCATGACACATTCTATGCGTGTAACAGGATATCACATTACCCCCATAAATATGTTCAAATATGATGTATCAATCAATATAATTACATGGTTATGTGTGTATGTGTGTATGTGTGTGTGTATATATATATTTATATATATATAAAATATATATATATAAAATTACCTGGTTACATATATATATAATGTTATATAAAATATATATTATATATAGTATAGTTATATATTATATATAGTATAGTTATATATATTTAAATATATGTGTGTATATATATTTAAAACTAGGTAACGGTGTTTTGAATAGTACACATAGTAATAGAAATAGAAAGAAGTGGACTAAGGCATTTTCATCCAGCACCTCCTCACCTAATGACTAAGACTCCATGCAGGAAGCCAACCCTGTTCTTTATGAAATATAAACCTTATAGTCCCCTCTGGTCAGTCTGACAGGCAGAGGCTTGACTCCTTGATGGTGACTCTACCATTTGTTTTCAAGATGGCCAATGAGCCAGATACCATGATGCCTTTTTAAACAATTCATTTAATAATAACTACCTCAACCCATTGTTACAAGGTTTAAATGTGATAAATTACTTGAAAGTGCTTTGGAATCTATGATCATTTTATGATACACATTAAATGGTGAAATATAAAAACCCTAAACATATCCACTCATCAATATTTATTCATCAAGCCTTTTCTACGTGGTTGACATTGTGGGGGATTGGAAAGACAGAAGAAATTTATGAACATAGCTGGTTGTGATTTAAAGAGGTGCTTCAGTGCTAATAAAATTAAGGGAACAATGAAAATAATAAGATGGACCCAGACCTTAGGCTCCAAATATAGCCCATGTTTCTCTGTTTCAAGTCTGTGAGAACTGTGCTGAACTAACCTTGTAAAACACTTCATCTTTTCTTGATTTGTTATTTAGAAGTGTTGATTGCCCTAGGGAGAGAATTATCATCTTGTGAGTGAACTTGGGAAGTTTCTGGTGGAGATTTTCCCAGCAGTTGGAACCCAGATGATGACTGCATCTGCCCAATGTCATGGCCAGACCCTCATAGTTTATGTTTCATTATAATGGAATTAGGTAAACAGAACCTTAAAGGTTTACAGATAACAGAGATTCCAAGCTTTTAATTTCTCTTTTATTTTCCCTCCTGTAATGGAAGAAACTGCTCATAGGAAAACACACCCAAATAGATTATATTCTTGGTCAAATCATTTTAATCTCATCTAAACTGCCTCTGGTTCCTTTCATATTTCTGCCACAGTCTTCCTGATCTAGACCAGGCTGTTAATGATCACTTTCACTCACCCTTTATGAAAACACCACTTGTATTATCACTTATTCTATTGCTACCCTTAGATCTATGTTCTAAAAAATATAAAGGCCTAAGTTTCATGAAGCAAATACATTTTAAAGAGAAAAGTTAAGTACATTTTTAGTTTCTTAGCTTGTGAAATTAGACAATTTTTGAGTATAGTTGATTATACACACGTTTACTTAATATAAATTTTATTTGAAAGGTTATGAAAAGATACAGCTTATTATTGGTAGAAAAGGTATTATGAATATCTGTTCTTGTGATTATAATTTTATATGAAGAAAAGATAGAAGATATATATCTTAGTTGTAAGAAAATTCAAAAACATCCCAAAATTTCAATTTCCTTATCTTGACCACAGAAAAATAATATCAAGGGAAGATGTTCTGAGGATTACAGAGGATATCATCCAGGAGAATAGTACTTTAGAAAGTAGAAAACACCATATAAATTTGTCATTGACGGGCAGCTTTTATCTAGAGGCCTAAGTTTAATCAAGGATTTCAAAACATAAAGTTGACTGAAAAGTTTTGTTGAGTAAAGTGTATATTTCAATCAGTCATAACTTTTACCTGTGAAATTTAAGAAACCATATCCATTAATTTCATGAAAGAATTTTAATAATTAGAATGCTTTTGAGATTTACTATTTTAAATGTAATGACTCATTTTAAACATTTTACATTTTAGAAATTAAGATTTTTCTCTGAACTTGAGATTACAATATACCAGTTTACTTATTCATTCATTCATGCTTCCAATAAATGTTTATTGCACAACTAATATATACCTAGATACTATGATAAGTTCTGGGGATAAAAAGAAAGAAATGAAGATGTCTTCTTCTTTCTATCATATACATATAATATATAATATATAAAATAATATGATAATATATCATATATAATTAATATATATCAAGTATAATTATATATAATTAATATATATCATATAAATATATACTATATAATATATAATTAATATATCATATATCATATATAACATTTTGATATATGATATACAACATATATCAAAATGTCATGCTGTAGTAGCACAGAATATATGATATATGATATATATGATATATAATGATATGATATATGTGATATATCATATCATATATGATATATGTGATATCTCATATATCATATATCATATATGATATCTCATATATCATATATCATATATGATATCTCATATATGATATCATATATGATATCTCATATCATATATGAGAGATCATATATCATATCATATATATCATATATCATGATATATCATATATGAGATATCATATATCATATCATATATATCATATATCATTATGATATATCATATAAGAGATATCATATATGAGATATCATATATCATATATGAGATATCATATATCGTATATCATATATGAGATATCATATATCGTATATCATATATGAGATATCATATATCGTATATCATATATGAGATATCATATATCGTATATCATATATGAGATATCATATATCGTATATCATATATGAGATATCATATATCGTATATCATATATGAGATATCATATATCATATATGAGATATATATCATATAATATATCATATCTCATATATCATATCATATATCATATCTCATATATCATATCATCATATATCATATCCCATATATATTATATATGATATGATATATGATCTATCTTATATATAATTATATATAAGATATATAGTATATCACATATAATATATGATATATAATTATATATCATATATGAGTATATTATATATGATTATATATCATATATAATTATATGGTATATATCATATATAATTATGTCATGTTATATATCATATATAATTATATATGGTATATATGGTGTATTATATACCATATATAATTGTATATATGATATATTATATATCATATATAATTGTATATATGATATATTATATATCATATATAATTATATATCCATATACAATTATATATGGTATATTATATATCATATATATCATATATTCTGTGCTACTACAATGTGACATTTTGATATACATATATGCATAGTTAAATGATTACTACAGTTATACAAATTAACGTATCCATTATCTCACATATGTACCTTTTTTAATGGTAAAAGTACTTAAATGCTAGTCTCTTGGCAAATTGCTAGGATACCGTAGAATATTATTAACCATAATCCTTATGTTGCACATTAGAGATCTAGACTTATTCATTCTATATAACTGTAACTTTGGACTTTGTTTCCCCATTTCCCTCACCACTCCAACCCCTAGTAAGTAATCAGCATTCTAGTCTTTGTTTCTATATATTCAAAGGTTTTTTTTTTTTTTTTTTTTAGATTTCACATATAAGTGTGAAATGCAGTATTTTTCTGTGTTGGCATATTTCACTTAGCATGATGTCCTCCAGGTTCATTCATGTTTTCTCAAATGGTCAAATGGGATGGAAGCATCTCCTTTTTTAAGACTGAATATTAATTATGTATATCCTCCACAATTTCTTTTTCCATTCATCTGCAGTTGGATACTTAAATTGTTTCCATATCTTGGCTATTGTGAATAAGGCTGCAATAAACATGGAGCACACATATCTCTATGAGGTGGTGAGTTCATTTCCTTTGGGCATATACCCAGAAGTGGGGTTGCTGGTTCACATGGTTGTTCTATTTTTAATTTCTTTAGGAACCTCCATATCATTTTCCCCAAAGGCTGCACTGATCTACATTTTCACCAGGAATATACAGGTTTCCCTTTTCTCATAACTCTCACCAGTAATTGTTATCTCTTTTCTTTTTGCTAATAGTCCTCCTAACACATGTGAGGTAATATCTCATTATGATTTTGATTTGCATTTCCCTGATAATTAATGATATTGATGTTTTTATATACCTGTTACCCATTTTTATGTCTTATTTTGAGAATGTCTATTTAGGTTCTTTGCACATTTTTAATCAGGTTACTTCTTTTTTTTTTTTGCTATTGAGTTAGGTGTGTTCCTTATATATTTTAGATATTAACCTCATATAATATATGGTTTGCAAATATCGTCCCTCAACCCATTGGCTGCCTTTTATTTTATTGTTTTCTTTACTGTGCAGCAGTTTTTTAGTTTGATAAAATCCCATTTTTTTATTTTGCTTTTGTTGCCTGTGCTGTTAGTAAGATATCCAAAAGTCTTTTAACCAAAATTCAAGACTAATGTCAAGGAGCTTTTCCCCTGTTTTCTAAGAGTTTTATGGTTTCAAGGCTTATGTTTAGGTCTTTAATCCATTCTGAGTTGATTTTTTTCATGTGGTATAAGGGTTCATTTTCATTCTTTGAATGTGAATATCCAGTTTTCCCTACACTGTTTATTGAAGAGACCATCCTTTCCCTATTGCATTATATATGGTATATTATATATATCATATATATTATATATCATATATTCTGTGCTACTACAATGTAACATTTTGATATACATATATGCATAGTGAAATGATTGCTACAGTAATCATTTCTTCAATCATTCTTGGTGGCCTCATCAAAAATTAGTTAAATGCATATGCTTGGAATTATTTCTGGGCTCTTTATTCTGTTCTGTTGGTCTATGTGTTTGTTTTTATGCCAGCACCATACTGTTCTAATTACTGTTGCTTTATGATATAATTTGACATCAGGAAGTGTGATGTCTCCAACATTGTTTTTCTTTCTCAAGATTGTTTTGGCTACTCAGTGTCTTTTGTGATTCCATAGAAATTTTAGATTCTTTTTATATCTATGAAAATGCCTTGGAATTTTGGTAGGGATTGCACTGAATCTGTATATTGTTTTGGGTAGCATGCATATATTCCCAATATATTAGGAAAAACTAGCAATTTCAGTATACAATAGTAGACACTGATGCACAAAATGGGTAAACCAGCGATTATGATTCGCAGTAATAAGTGTTATTTAAAGAGTTTTAGAAGTATCATGGATACACAAAAGACATAATGAGGAGATTATGTGAGAAAACTATTATAGATTATAGGAGATGTCACAGAGGTTTCATTTGAACTGAGTGTTATGGGTTGAATTGTGTCTCCCCACAGTTCATATGTTGAACTAACCCCCAGTACCTTAGAATGTGACCTCATTTGGAGATAGTACCTTACACAGATAATCAAGTTAAAATGGGATCATTACGGTGGGATCATCCTAAGTAAATATGGCTGGTGTCCTTAGACAAAAAGAAATTTGGACACAGACACCCACACAGGGACCACACAATGTGAAGATGAAGGCAGATATCAGGGTGGTATTTCTATATGCCAAAGATTGCCAGAAACCACCAGAAGCCAGGGAGGTGGCATGGAACAGATTCTGCCTCACAGCCTGAAGAAGGAATAGACCCTGCTAACACCTTGATCTCAGACTTCTATCTTCCACAACTATGCGGCAATAAATACCTGTTGTTTAAGCCATTCATCTTGTGGTACTTTGTTACGACAGCCCAAACAAATTAATATGCTGGATCTTAAAAACATGAATAAGAGTCTATCAGTACTACAAAAGAAGGAAGCAAGAGGGAGGGTCAGTGCAAAGACAGAGTGGGATAAAGAAGCAGAAGCCAATTATAAAACTGCAAGTAGTTCAGTGTGGAAGAACATGGGATTTGAGGGAAAGACCAGCAGCAGAAAACCTTAGAAAGATGGTCAGGAGTCACCCTGTAAAAGCATAGTGCCAAGCCATGAGATGTCATTATCAAAAGTAATTGTGAACCACTGAAGGCTTTTAAGCAGAGGGAACAGTTGATGAGATGAATGTTTTAGAAAGATCGCTTACTTTTTTAGTTCTGTGAAGGATGGTTTGATGGAATAATACAAGAGATCCAGAGGTCATACAGGAATATACCAAGATAGTTAGGTGAGAAATGGTGGTTGCTCAACTAGGGCAGTTCAAAGTAAGATAAATGAGTAGATTCAGAACATAGAGGAAATCAAAATTCAGTGACCAGCTGCTCAGCTGAGAGAGAGAGAGAGAGAGAGACAGGAAGAGAGAGAATAAACTAGAGAAGAGAGAGAATAAACTGTGATTTTTAGTAATAGCAATGTAAAAGGAATAGAGATGAGACATATTTCAAAAGAACAGCTAAAAGACAAAGGCATTTCTTTCTCCCAAACAAAACTTACATGATCTCGACAAAACTATGAATGCTCTTGACTACTGGTCTGCTTACTTTGGGCCTTTGTGGGAAGGCATTTTATGTACTGTGATTCAAAAAGCACTTGGTGGGCACTGTTGCCTATTCAAGTACCACAAATTATATACAAGCAATTCTATAAACCATATTTTCATTATATTTTATTGTACATATCAGACAGATACATATCTAGTTTGATGGCAAATGTTCCCACATAAAAAAAGATTTTATAAACTGTATTGCATTTTGAGTATAAAATATAAAATTCCTCTGGTAGCTAAACTGCAAAAAAGTTTTGCTATAAAACATTAATGTTTTTTCCCCAAACAAAGAAGAAATACAAATCTTCTGGTGACACTCATGGAAAGCAACTTTATCATAAACTATTCATTCAATTTACTTTTTCTTGAAGCTTCAAAATGTGTATGTCATTTGAATGTTAAAAAGGAAAGAGAATCCATATGGCTGTTTCAGAAAGAAATTCTGAATTTTTCCATTGCAGAAAATTACAGGTACCCAATGGGTATTTTTTGGTGTTTTTATCTTTTTTGTTACCAAGTACAATAGCTTCACAAACCAAGTGTCTTCTCTTTCCATTAAAGTCAATCAGCCCCTATAGTCTGCATTTCCAATAAGTGATTTGTTGAGACTCTGGTTGTTTTTTTTTTCAGTCAGGATTTTACCCTGTTGCCTCAGCTGGAGTGCAGTGGCACAATCATAGTTCACTGCAGCCTCAAACTCTGGCTCCACTGATTCTCCTGCCTCAGCCTCTCAAGTGCCAGGACTACAGGTGCACACTACCACACCCGACTGAGACTCTGGTTCTTTCACAGAGGATCTACAATGAAATTCTTCCTTTATATCCTTTTATTGTAAAAAAATTTTCTCTAACAACCTCCATGTTGCTTCCCTAAGCACCGCCACACAGATTAGCCTGTGCTATGTCCTTGCCTACCCTTCCCCAGAACCTTTCTCTTACTTGCTCTTGCTTATTTTTCCCTCCCCATTTTGCACGTAGTTTCACTTGAAAACCATTTCTTCCAGGCACTAACTCCTGGGCCTAATGCCTTTCCCATTTTGTGCCTCGTAGAACCCTGTGAATGGTTGTGCCATTTTACTTCATCTGGTTTCACTGAAATTATCTAAATAGAGCCTCCACTCATAAAACAGGAAATCTTAAAGCAGGCTGATACATAGAACCTGAGACCAACTGTATTTTGTATCACAGCACTAGCCCTTTTAGCCAATCTTAAAGACAAATCTACTAGTGAGAAATGCATTTAGTTTTCCTTTGTCTGAGAATGTCTTTACTACCCTTTTACTACTGGAAGATAGTTTTCGTGGATATAGAATTTGTGGTTGAATTTCTTTAACATTTACAATATTGTGTTACTTCCTTTTATGTCTACCATGGATTCAGATAATGTGATATTTCTTTTTGGCTTCTTTCAAGATCTTTTCTTTTTCTTTAGTTTGAGAAGCTTAATTTTTTTTGTATTGGCATGGATGTCATCAGCTTTATGAATCTATTAGTTTGTGTCTTTGGCCAAATTTGAGAAATTTCAGTCTTTATTTTCTTTCAAAAACTTTTTATCCCTTCTGTTTTTCTCCTCTCACTGGGATTCCAAGGATAAGAATGGTCAGTGCTTTGTTATTGTCTCACAGGTCCCCAAAGATCTGTTCATATTTTTCCAGCCTATGTTCTCTGTTGTTTAGATTGGATGAAATTTATTTTTTCTGTTTTCAAATTCAGAGCTTTGCTTCTGAAAGCTTTAGTAAGCTTTTATTAAATCTGTCCTCTACTTCAAACATTGAGATATATGTGGAAGTATTATAAAAACAAAAAGGTAAATAAAAGATGACTTTCTAGCTCTCATCACTCATTCTAAGCAGTTTCCAAAATAATGAGATAGATGTGTAAACTCACTATAATGTAAGAGATTGTGAAGTAATGGCTTTTAAAAAGGGACAGACAGCACTGTCAAAGAGAATTGGAAAGAATGCTTACACCTGACTAGGAAGATTCGAGAAAACAATCTAAGACATCTTCTAAACATTGAATAATAGATGAATGATTGGAGTAGAGCAAAGACATTCTCAGAATGAGAAAATGAAGAACATGACAACAAGGAAAACTTATTTCAGCTGTTTCCTAATTAACAGAACATGAAGCCTTGCTCTGGTTACCAACCCCATAGGTCTAATACTGAGTTTATCATCTTGCTCTCATCAACCCTCAAATGTGTTTCTTCCTCTTTTGAGTAATATTCACAGACTATTGGTCTAGAAACTTTGCAGCCTGAGTGCAACTCACACCTCTCTATCTTGCTTCTTATTCATGTGATCGCAAAACCTTCCAGTTCATCATTTCTCCAAAAAGTGTTTCCCTGATACTACCATTTCTTTCTCCTTCTTTAGTCCTAGTCCAGGCCCTTGTTACTGTGCATATAAAATAATGCACTTACTGCCCAAATATTTTATCTGACTCAATTTTGTCACTTTTCCAATATATTTTTACTTAAGCCAGACTTATTTTTGAAAAATGGATAATATTATGTCATTTTCCTCATCAGAACCTTTGCTAGTTTATTCATCTGTTTATTCAACAAATGTTTAATTGCACACTATATACCAGGCATTGTGTATTAGATGTCTACTGAATAAAATCCAAATGCACTGACCAGCCAATGTCCTCTCACCCCAGACTTAGGCTCGGATTCCATCTCTTCTGCCTTCTCCTAGTCTTTGTTCCCTTGATTCTCCCTGCTCCTAATTTCTGGCGATTTCTACTTAAATATACATAGTCTTCTCATCCAAAATACACACACACTACCTTCTTGAAAAATTAATCTTCATGTTTCTATTTTCTTCATATAACTCCTCAGTTTTTCAAACCCTTTAGCACAGTATAGGTTTTTCAGTAGCGATGTGACATAATCATATTTGCATTTTATAAAGTATAGAAATGTACTCTGAAGAAGAGAGTGAATAGAAAAAAAAAAAAGGATGCAGGTAGTCAATTTAGGCAGCTATTACATTTGGCAAGTTACATCTCCAAGCAAGAGTTGATGAGGATGTGAACTGGGGTAGTTGCCTGGGGGATGAATAAAGTGGATGGATTAAAAAGATTTGTAAAGACACAACTTAAAGAAATTGGGAACTGAATGGATATTGAAGAAAGGGAAAGAAATCCTTAGAGACAACTTCCAGAATTATAGCACAAGCAACTCATTGGAAAATAGTTTCAATTGCTAAGTTTTAAAACCCTAGAGAATGAGAAGGTTGAACTTTAGATATTATGTATTAAGTTAGCAAGCATGTGGAATATCTCAAGGGTGATGTTAAGTAATATAGTATGTATTTGTGGATCTCAAACTTGGGATAATTTCATAGCCAATTGTGCAAATGGCCACAAATTACAGTCCCATCCATGATCTTTGATAGCACCTTTAGATATTATGTATTTAGACTTTGATAGCAACTGTAGATATTATGTATTAAGTTAGCGAGCATGTGAGACATCTCAAGGATGATGTTATGTAATATAGTATGTCTTTGTGGATCCCAAACTTGGGATAGTCTACACAGTTGATTGCAAAAATGGCCACAAATTACAGTCCCATCCATGACTCTTGATAGCACCCACCCATACTGACTTTAGGCTAGCATTGACTTAGCCAGTGGGATATTACCAAGCATGATGTTATCAGAGGTGTGAAAAACACAAGTACAAGAAAATTGGCCTTCTTGCTACTCTGCTACTCTTGGGAACCTCACAATTGACGACCATATGATGAAACCCAGGCCACCCTGCTAGATAATAAGCCACTGCTTCAACCATCCCTACTGCTCTGACCCACAGCCTGTCAGACATGAGAATGAAGTTATTCTAGGTCCCTCAGACCATTGAACTTCCTGCTGACAATAGGCACAAGCCCTGCAGAATCAGCAGAACTAGCTCATATAAAAACAACCACCCAGGCCTTCAAAATAGTAAACTGAAAAAAATAAAAATTATTTTAAGCCAGTATATTTTGGGGTGATTTGTTATACAGTAAAAGTTAACTGACACAACCTACTGAGAATATAAAATAATAGTAGACAAGAAATAAAGAGCTCATTATGTTCTAGCACAGTGTAAAATACTTTACATTAATAAACTAAGCAACATAATTAAAACAACCTTTATATAAGTTTAAGGATTTTAAAATATGAAGATGAAGAGTTAAGTTATATGATTTAGAAAGTTTTAAGATATTAATGTTCAAAGAAGAAGAGTTAAAGTATTTGCTCAAGGCTACTCAGCTATTACATAGCAGAACTAGAAGTCCAAGGAGATCTAATTTAAAAACTTCCTGAGCCTACAAATTGTTTGATTCCAGGAGTTTATAGCTTTGGGTTTACTGAATACTCAAAACCTGTTGCTTATCCTTAAAATGTTACCTTAGTTCACATCATTTTAGACCTTTGGTAATTTTTCCAAGTCTCTGTCAAGGTATATTTTCTACCTTGATCTTCTTCTAAATACTAATTCTATGCTTGATGCAAGCTTCATGGGCAGCAGGAAAAAAAAATTATAGCCTTCGGATACAATTATAGGTGTGAAATTTTCCACAAATAGCAATAATCTACCATATCATTGGACATTTTTCTATGAAACATAATATTCATAGAATTTAAGAGTTGCCAAATCAACAGGTTCTTCTAGTAAGAAAAACTATTTCATATTTGCTTTTTAAAAGTTTTTTTTTTTTTAGTGAGATGAGTAAAGCCAAAACCTGCACAATGAAGGCAATAATGTTTGTGCAGTGCTATTCCTTTAACTGAATAGTACTGTTTGTAATTGTTGACCTTGTATCACTCCTCTTGCTGCATTTCTTATCTGAGGTCTACATGAATGCTCCAGTTAGAGTGTGCTTTAGGTTAAGATAAGTAAAAGATGAATTAAGAAATAGTATGCCGGCCGGGTGCATTGGCTCATGCCTGTAATCCCAGCACTTTGGGAGGCCGAGGCAGGTGGATCAGCTGAAGTCAGGAGTTCGAGACCAGCCTGACCAACATGGCGAAAACCTGTCTCTACTAAAAATACAAAATTAGCCAGGCATGGTGGCACATGCCTGTAATCCCAGCTCCTTCGGAGGCTGAGGCAGGAGAATCACTTGAACCCGGGAGGCGGAGGTTGCAGTGAGCTGAGATCGTGCCATTGCACTCCACCCTGGGCAACAAAGAGCAAAACTCCATCTCAAAAAAAAAAAAAAATAAATAAATAAAATAAAAAAAGAAAGAAAGAAAGAAAGAAATACTATGTCATGGCAACAATCTATATCATTGCTAAGACATCACCGGAAATCTAATGATTTAATGATGGAGAATGTATTAGCTTCCCATTGCTGCTGTAACAAATTATTACAAATTTAGTGCTTAAGCAACACAAATATATTATCTTATGGTTTTGGAGGTCAGAAGTTCAATGTGGGTCTCACTAGGTGTCTTAGTCTACTAGAGATGTCATAATAAAATACCACAGACCATGCAGTTTAAACAGGAATTTATTTTTCTTACAATTCTAGAGGCTGGAAAGTCCAAAAGCAAAGTTGTGGTCAGTTCAGTTTCAGGTGAGGGCTCTCTACTTGGCTTGCAGATGGCCATCTTCTCATTGTGTCCTCACATGGTAGAGAGAGAGAGAGAATGCTCTGGTGTCTCTTTCTCCTCTTATAAAGTCACTAGCCCTATAGAATTAGAGCCCCATGCTTGTCAGCTCATTTAACCTTTATTACCTACTAACAGGTCCTATTTCCAAATACAGTCACATTAATAGTTAGGACGTCAACATGTTAAATTTAAGAGGGACACAAATATTTAGTCCATAACATCAGGCAAAAATCAAAGTGTCAGAAATGCTGCATTTCTTTCTGCAGACTACAGGGAAGAATCCATTTTCTTTCCTTTTCCAGCTTCTGGAGGCTGCTCACATTCATTTGTGGTTTGTTCCATCTGGAAAGCCACGCACTCATTTCCTAGAGCTGCTGTAACAAAGGACCACAGAATGGATGGCTGAAAATAACAGGAATTTATGGTCTGATACTCCTGTAGGCCAGAGGTCTGACATCAAGGTGTTGGCAGGGTTGGCTCTTTCTGAGGGCTGAGAGGGGGAATCTATTCATGCCTCTCTCCTAGCTTCTGGGAGTTTGCAGGTATCTTTGGTATTCTCTGGCTTTCAGATGCATCACTCCAATTCTCCATCTTCACGTGGTGTTCTCCCTGTGTCTCTCCACATCGTCCTCCCTCTGTGCATGTCTCTTTGTGTCCCAGTTTCCCCTTTTTCTATGGACACCAGTCATGTTAGAGGAAGACCCACCCTAGTAACCTAATTTTAACTTCATTACCTTTTAAAAGGGCCTATTTTCAACAAGGCTTTATCCAGAGGTACCGGAGATGAGGACTTGAACATTTCTTTTTGGGGACACATGTAATGCATAGAAGTCAGCAATGGCCACTTGGGTCCTTCTCATATTGCATTACATCATCTCACTTCCTCTTCTGCCACCCTCTTCCACTTTCAAGGATTCTCGTGACTATACTAGGCCTACATAGATAAGCCATAATGCAGGATAATCTCCCCATTTTAAGATCAGCTGATTAGCAACAAAAAATTCCATCTGCTACCTAAATTCTCCTTTGCCATGTAAGAGAACGTATTCACAGGTTCCAGGAATTAGGATGTAGACACATTGGAAGGGCCATTATTATGCCTATCACAGAGAGAAATGGTAATTTGCCAAAAACTCTCAGAAGGAGTCCTAGATATGGCTTGAAGGAAGAGTTAGAAAATCCACTTATGTTTGGGAATGTGAAGATGATGTGACTCTGTAGTGGGCATGTTTGCTAAGCTGCCTTCCAAGGAGAAAGGTTTCTGAGTTTTTGAATGACCTAAGTAAATTCAGTGCCAGAGTTAAAATATCCTGAATGGAGAAGCAGTTTTCCATTTCCACAGCATTCTTTCACAGAACTTCCCCTAATCCTACATCAACTTCATCAATCCTTCACAAAGAAGTTGAAGAAGAGCATCAACTTCTTCCCTAAATAAGTGCTCAACAGATCTTAAGCTTGGGTTTCAGAACAGGGTTGCTATGCTATTTTGTGCACAAATGTGGACTGAAATGCTAAGAGTTCAATTTCAAGGAACAAATTTTTGTTTTAGGACATAGATCCAAAAGAATCAGGTACTTTCTGTACCCCACCCCATCCCTGAAAACATACACACATGCACTAACACACACACACACACACACATACACACACAGCTCATTGACGTTCTATTGGTGAAACAAAGGAGATAAGAGAAAAGGAGTCTTTATAGTGTCCTCACTTAAAACCTGTTTTTCCTGAGTTAGGTGCATATTTAGAATTCTGGCATGGTTTTCTCCATATTCAAGCCCATTCTTACCTTCACTGAATATTTAGATTTTGCTTCATGGTTTTTAAATAATTTATACAGTTAGTATTTATTTTATATTCTATAAATTTGCTGAGACCTCTTACATTCAATATGTAAATTTATTAAAGAAAGTGTACATTCCAATTCCCTGGACTAAAAGGCCGAACTGAATATCCTATTTGGTGTATCTGCCAAGGAAGAAGAATTAGGTAAAAACATTCTGAATTATTTCAAAAATCTCCAGGATCACAGTCAGTTGCTAGAAAGACTGGGTTTTCTTTGGAAATATAAAACAGATGGGAGAAATAAAACAGGGAAAAAGAAAGGGCAAGTATTTGAAAGAATGTAAACAGGAAAGAATGAGAATTATGGAAATAAATGAAAGATGAGAAATCTATGAAGACAGAAATTAAGAGAACATATAAAGCAGGGTAAGACTCAGAATTCTAAGGAAATAGAAACAAGGGTATCTGGAGGAATCTAGAGAGAACTAAGGAAGTAAGTAATTATAAAAACAGAGAATAGAAGATATAAAGATAAAGAGACAGTGGAAGAGGAATGCAAATATGAGCAAAAAATGAAGAGGTGGAAAAGCAGAACCTGGTGGCTAAGATTTTTTTTTTATTATTATTATTCTACGGAGTACATTTTCTTTCAATCCTAAGGGAAGAAAAAAGAGAATGTGTGATTAGACTATGATAAAAAGTGAAGAGATGATGGCAGCCAGAGGGCCAGAACCTTCTCAGGCCACTTGGAGGATGCCGCATTCTGACTTTGAACATTGGCTGGAATTCATTCTTGCTAACATGAATCCAGGAATGATGAATTTCTGGGCGCTGCACAACAGCCCCAGATTCATAAATCACCCATAGACTTTGCACATATGAGTTTTATAAATGATTCTCCAGGCATAGTAATCACAGGCAGTGGGAAAGGAAAATGAGCCTCTCCTTTGCAGCAATTTTCCTCTGTGAAGTTGTCATCCTATGACCAGAGTGCAATCCCCTAAGAGGAGCTGCCTATGTAGCCACTACAAGTTTGCAAGGTTATTGGATCCTTAAGTGACTTCTAAAGGCTTCACTATATGTCGTTTTCAAAGAATGCTGGGGGAAGTCAAAATTTAAATTTCAACACTGTTTAAAGATTGAATGATGTAAGCATTTAGGTGATAGGCCAAATTAATGAAATAAAATAAAAACCTAAGCCTTGAATGTGTAAATATCCAATCAAGTGGCCTAGTAGCTTCCATCTAAATTTGGTGTTCTTCCTTGTAGATTCTGACTCCATATACACTCAATATGTGTGAATCTACAACTGAATGGTGATCTGCATTACAGAATCTTCCTGTTCTCTTAGGATTGTGAGTGTGTGTGTGTGCGTATGTGTGCGTGTAGTCAAGATACTACCTAGATCCAGGGTAGTTTTTGAAATTATTTCTGATTTGCTTGCCACTAGGAAAGAAAGTCTCATGTTGCAAGCTACGCATATTTCCAAAGTTCTTTCCTTTTCAAATAGATATTTTATCATTAAAATTTACAAGTAAAGCCATACTTTTTACTCTTCCGTCATTCAGATATCCAGATTGATGTAAAATGAAAAGAAGAGACTGCTGTGCCATGCACTCTAGGATTATCTATCATGAAATCTTTTTATATTACTTACATACAAACTGACTGAAAATTTAAAAATATATTTTAAAAAATCTTTTTAGCATAAATGTTTTTTTCTTTATCTTTATAGGTATCTGAAAATACTAAAGAATGTACAATCTTATGAAATGAGTCAAGATGCACATTTGTGTTACACAAATGTTTTCATGTTTGTTGCCTGTGTAGTGATTAGTAGTAGTTAGCTAGATGTATAGTTCTCTTAGGGAGCAACGAGAAAGTTTACAATCCAAAGAACTCAAAACAATTTAAAGCATTTTGAATTATGTTTTACCACTAGGTATGATTCTCATAACTGTGAGCCAAAGCATTGCATTTCCTGGATCTAAGCCAACATAAAAATAAAGTCTGAAACCCACAGCTGGGAGTCTCTTTAGAATGCCTTCTTTAAACATTGGTTCATGGAGGGGAAGTGCCAAGAAAAAAAATAAAAGTGTGTGTGTATGTGTGTGTGTGTGTGTGAGAGAGAGAGAGGGAGAGAAGAAAGAAGATCTCAAAGAAGTGCCATAAGATCCAGATAGTCACATTGCCTCCAACCATTTTTGGTATAGTTATGAGTTTGGAGAAAAGAAATAATAATCTCAACCACTTGCCTGTCTTAACTCCAGATGCTTAAAATAATTACTTTTAATATGCTTCTTATTAGATTTCAAACAAACTGCTCTTGACAACTACCTCTAGAAATGTCTTAGTGTTTTCCTTTCTATTTCATAATGAAATGTTTTACCCACTCCAAGAGTGATACTGCAAACAGACATTGCTTCACTCAGATACATATGAAAAACAAAATCTGTAGAAGAGCTCCTAAGTGCTACCTTAATCCTTTTTTCCCCTCCTATCCCTTCTTCTCTCCTCCTCTCCTCCCTCTCTCTCTTCCTTCACTCTTTCTTTCCCAACCTCCCTTCCTCCCTTCCTTCCTTTCTTCCTTCTTTCCATTAATCTGAAATCCTGTGGTGGAAATAGCAAAAGATAAAACGGACTCTAGCATTAGGAGTATTTTCAGAGATCTTGAAACATGACACATAATTTTGAGGCAGAGCATAACTTTCTTTAGTGTTTTTTTAACTAACAGACTTTATGTTTTGAGTAATTTTAGTTTTAAGGAACTATGAGCAGAAAGTACAAATAGTTTCCTTATACAACCCCCCACCCCAGTTTCCCTTATTATTAGCATCTTGTGTGCTACATTTGTTACAAATGATGAGTCAATATTGGTGCATTATTATTATTAAATAAATTCCATAGTTTATAGTAGGGTTCATTCTTTGTGTTATTATTTTTATTACCAAAATATAAAGGATGGAGCCCTGATATTCCCAGAGGCCCTGGTTAGTAGAAGCAGTAGAATTGCAGTAATGCCATTGCCATGTGCCTGAAAGAGTGGTTCTTGTGGGAGAAGACTTGAAGGAGCTAAAACGATGGGTAGGCAGACAGGATAGGAGGGCTAATCAAACTGCTGAGTTCATGGTGGGACCTGACAAGAGAGGCTGCCCCTTAGTTACTCTGTATCATGACGCACCAGGCTCAGAACCAGCCATGTGCTATGGAGTAGGTATAATTCGACTTAGTACTTTCTCTTATCATACACTCCTCATAGAGTTTTTTTTTTTCTCTCTACATTGACTCTGAGGAAGTCTATGAGGGAGATTATCAGTCTCTGGTGAGTATTTTTAACTTTTCAAATGAAGTGATTATACAATGACAAAAGCTTTGCACTTAGAATATAGCTTCTCAACAAATATATTGAAGTTATTTTGAAGAATAAATTGTTTGTTTTAAACAATTTTTTAGCTATTAAAAACGTTGATGCCCAAATAACTGCATCCTCACTATACATAATCTCTTTTACTAGGCCAATACTTACTGTTATTATCTAACTTTTGTGGAGTGCTGTGACTGCAGGGGATACTGGAAAAAGTATAGGAATAAGCCCCCAGTGTTACATAGGCTTAAATTAATTTTGGGGGGCAAAAATTAAAGGTATATAATTAGTTCTATTTGTTATTATTGTAAGTTGAACTGTGTCCCGTTCTCCCCCAACCAAAAAGAAAGAAAAACCCAAAACTGAAACCCCTGTAGCTCGGAATGTGACTTTAGAGATGAAGTCTTTACAGAGGTAATCAAGTTAAAATAAGGTCACTGGGCGGAAGGTTAATCCAAAATGACTGGTGTCTTTACAAAAAGGGAAAATTTGCACACGAAGACGCTGTGTAGACGAAGATGATGTGAGGACACAGGAAGAAGATGGCCCTGAAGCCATGGAGAAAAGAAGTCTGGAAGAGACTTCCCTCACAGCCCTCAGAGGGAGTCAACCCTGTCAACACCGTGATTTCAAACTTCTAGTCTACGGAAGTGTGAGACAATACATTTCTTTTGTTTAAGCCGCTGATTTTGTAGTACTTTGTTATGGTAGCCCTAGTGAACGGATACAATTATGTTTGTTTGTTTTTTTAAAAATTGCTTTCTGTTTGTGCCATATGTAGAATTCTCATTTTCAACTTCAACTGTTTTGGACTGGTGAATAAATTTTAACTTGTCATAGCAATTTTCACCCAAAGCACAATTTATAAAGCATGTATTGCCAGGTACACAAGAGGTATTTAATTTTTCTTTAGATGTATTTTTAAAAGGCTTTACATACTCCTGCAGGATTGCCATGAACATAAATAATGCCTGTAATTGTCTGACACATAGAAATGCTCTATAAATATTACGTAATATTATTTTTAAACGTGCTGTCCACAACAGTCTTCTGAGTGTTGTATGTGGTAAAAGAGACTTTAGAGCAACAGGCTGTAAGACAGAGGAGCCAAAAGAGAGGCTTACATATTCCTCAAGCTGTCCACTCTCCTAAAAATACAATGTATCTTGAATAATTTATCTGAATAAAAACAACACGTGGCTTAAGAAAAGGTTTTGGGTAATAACTTGTTGATGTAAAAGACACATACAGTGGAAAATATTCACAAAGCACTAACGTACAATCTGTGATTCAGGTCTGTTTCCCTGCCCGCCCCCTGCCCCCAAACCCCCAGTTCTTCTAAAGGAGCACTAGGCTTATAACCTCTAATCTTGTGTGAAGCCTTGCTCTCCAGAGTTTCTGTTTACTTCCATTATTCCATGTAGAGCCATATATCTACGGATTTTATGCCTACTTGGACACCAGATATTCTTGCCTCTCCCTTGGGGTAATGGTAACAATCGTTTGCACCAAAAATGTAAATGGGCTGGGCATGGTGGCTCATGCCTGTAATCCCAGCACCTTGGGAGGCCTAGGTGGGTGGATCACTTGAGGCCAGGAGTTCAAGACCACCCTGGACAACATGGTGAAACCTGGCTCTACTAAAAACGCAAAACTTAGCCAGGCATGGTGGCGGGCACCTATAATCCCAGCTACTCGGGAGGATGAGGCAGGGGAATTGCTTAAACCCAGGAGGTGGAGGTTGCAGTGAGCCTAGATCATGCCACTGCACTCCAACCTGGGCGATAGAGCAAGACTCCGTCAAAAAAAAAAAAAAAAAGGGAAATGGTCTTGCTATCTTGTTGCAGTAGCAGAAGCAGCTGAATCTGTTCGGCTAATAAAGACAAAAAAGCAGCCATTCTCATTCTTGTAATGCCTATATGCAGTCTTCATTATCTAGATGAACAAAACTTCATCATCCCCAGTCAGTAAGTCAACCTGCCCATCAGGAGGCAGCCCCACTCACCTCAAGTGTCACACAGTCTTGGATTGGGTTCTCTTACCATGAGGAGGATGCTTGAAAATTCCAACCATAAACATCCACATCCACCAGATCAAGTCCATTTCTTCCTTTCTCTGGGGTAATGAATTTCAGAACTATAACCAAGTTGATTTCAAACTTTTGAGAGAAACCAGAGTTGAATGTTTTGGCTTTGCTTGCTGGTTGACATTTTTTATAAATTACCTCTGTCTTCCCAGACAGAACTATTCATTTAAATAATAAAGTGTGAACTTTGACTTCTGTTTAGCTGGTTTATAAGATACAAGGCTCTCCTTTCAATGTATTAAACAAAATACCTAAACCAGGCATTTTTTTTTATCAATGTATACTCAAAATCTTTACTATTCTATTCTGATTAAAATCCCAGCTGAAATAATTTTTATTCAAAAGACAAATTTTAATGATTTTTAAGCCTGATTCTGAGTTAGATAGAGGCAATGGAGTTAGTAAAAAAATAAATAAATTCTCAGCCCTTCAAAGATTTTGGGGTCAGACTCTCAGATTAGGTCATATATTTTTAATAACCTCACAAATGAGTCTAGTGCACTCAGCCTGACATGGGAACTGCAGACCATATGCAATAAATTTTGGTATTAGTGGAACCCTGAAGTAATTTCAATAATAACTTCTAATGAGATAATTGCAATTTTTATGATTTAAAAATTTCTTAGCAATGATAAATCTCTAAAAAGCAGTTTAGTATAGTGAACATAGATGTCCTTCAGGGTCAGATAAACCTTGACCAAGTTTCCCTGTATTTTAAGTGGGGATTATAATAGTCTTGCAAGTAGACTGGAGACGATATGTATTGAATACCATTACAGTGCCAGGCACACACAGAATGCTCAACAAAGGATACCCATTACTATAGAAGACATGTAAAACCACTTCCCTGGGGAAAGAGTGTAACTTTTGAATTTTCCTAGTTTTTTCTGTATTACCTAAAAACAGCAGAAATTTAGGTGTCTAAACTTCATTGTTTTTTATTTCTACAGACATGCGTTAATAGAATCCTCATATAACAAAACGTTCTTGATTTTTATCAAGGAGTACTAAAAGAAAGCCACACTATTACTTTTGCATGTTTGGCTAAATTGCTGAAAATATTGCTCACTGACCCTATTATAAAGGTTTACCTGTTGTTAAATACAAGGAAACATATTTTTCTTTTAACATACCAGCATTCTTCCAATTATACATAATGATTATTATAGGATTTATTTTTTCTTTAAGCCATCACTGCCAGGAAAGTGAATTCTGACCTAAATTTAATGCTTAACTATAATAATTCTTCTTGGATTTTTTGCATTAGGTTCCTTTCTTTGACTTTACCTCTCAACTCTTATTTTCCTGTCCATATCATTCTTTCCTAGTTTTTTTAAAATTTTATTTTAAAATCATCTTAAATAATGCAGGATGTAGGCATAAATGAATCAACTAATCAACCAAATTTCATAGTCACCTATTCCAGTAATAATGCTGCATAACAAACCTTCCCAAAACTCACTATCCTATGACACAAACATTTATTCTGTCAAAACAAAACTTGCACTTGGCAAAGTAAAACAGGCAAGGAAGATTCTCCAAGACTATTGCAACACAAGAATGATTAATACTCAGTTTGAACCCAACTCCACTCAAACAAAGAGCTGGAGAATTTTTAAAGCAAGGATATTTTGGGGGGTTGAGGAGTAGATAGTAGTCTAAATATGCTTACTAATTGGCTTACCCAAAGGAAACCTAAACTTCCTTCAAGGCAGGAGGTAGTTTTGCAGCTTGGAGCAAAGTACCTGCTGAAGTTAGGCTCCTATCCTGCCATAGAAACTGGGAGATAGGGGTAAGGGGTGCTATCTTCCTTGATGATTACATTTCAAAGACAGGTTCCCAGGTCCTTGAGAAAGACATTCATGAGGCTTTTTAAAACAATTTACATTTCGAAGGGGCAGAGAAAGAATTTACAATGACAAATTTTGTAAAATAAGTTCTTTAAGGGAAGGGAGGTCAGAACCCAGAAAAAGCCTATTTAAAGTTTAGAGAAGCTGAGAGGAAAGTTAAATTCTTCTTAACTTACAGAGTCTGTGCTCTGCTGATTAAGGCTGGGCTCACTCAGGCAGTTCTATTTAGGGCTGCAGCTTAGCTAGACTTGGCTCTGGGATTTGGCTTGCAGGTTGTTCAGCCTGCGGTCTATTTTTCACAAAGTATATTACCAACATGAAAGAGTCAAACTTTACCATGCAATCAATCTAAATCCACTAAGTGTATAACATCTGCCAATATGTTTGACCAAAGCCAACAGACTTGGTCAATGGGTATTGGTCTTAAATATCAAAGGGTTAGGGAAATATATTCTGCCTTCAGTAATAGGGGAGGAATGTGAATATTTGTTGAAAAATAATTCAAACTATCTCAGCAATCAACCATCCAACAGAAGCGAATAATTAGCTGGAGAAGTAGAAACCTTCTCAGAATTAAAAATATATATATTGTTTAGGTGGTCCAACCTCTTTCTCAGCCTCACTTCCATCCTAAGATAGGGATAAGAAAAACAGACAAAAATACAACAAGGAAATATTACAGAAGAGACAAACGAAAATGAAGACGAGGGCCTCCAGTCTTTCAAATTCTTTGATGCACCACTTCAAATTCATGATGCCATAGTGGAAAAAAAATCTTAAAATAACTGAGTAGTCAGACACACACAGGGAGACTGTAGCAAGCTATTATTGGAGAAATTCAGAGAAGAGAAAACCTATTACCTTCATATAAGAAAACATTAATCATTATCATCTGGTGAAGCATACAGATATGAAAACAGGTGACAACAATACAGTTTAATAATAGCATACTAGACTGGATGCTCTATGAAAATAATAAAAGGGAAACAGGAGGCAAATATTTGAAAGTTCAGTTTTCAAGAAAGCAAGCATAAAAGTTTTTTTTAAATGAGGGCACAAAAAGAAGGATGCATATAAACTACTGCTACTCAAAAATGTTTTAGCTCAGAAATCCTTCATATTCTTAAAAATTACTGAGAACTCCAAAGAGTTTTTGTTTTTGTGCATTATGATATTGATATTTAACATACAGAAATTAAAAATAAAAACTTTACATGCTTATTAATTTATTGTAAAATAAAATAAGCTATTATATATCCACATAAATAACATTTAATGAGCATAATTATATTTTAAAAATAAAATTTAGCATAGAGAGAGGCATTATTTTTCATTTAAAAAATGTCTACATGTCTGGCTTAAGAGAAGGTCATTGCATTCTCATATCTATCTCTGCATTCAATTTCTCATTTCAAAGTATTTGAAGAAAATGTGTTTTTTCAGATATGTAGATGGAAAAAGAAGGAATATTTTAATAACTTTTTCAGATAATTATAATTTATTTTTCTTGATACTACAACAAAACTTGACAAGTGGTAGCCTCTTAAAGGCTAATTGAAATACGGAATCTGAAATGATGTCAATGAACTTTACATACTCTGATACATTAAATTTAATTGATCACTCTTGCACTTGGAATAAATCTTTTATTCTGGCATGATTTTGCAATGTTATGCATTTGATCATTTGGAATAAGTTAGTTTATAGTTTTCATTTTACAATATGAAATAATCATATTTGTTATTATTACTACCAATCTCATCAGAAGAGTCAAGTACTGGGAAGCATTCCAGTTCATGGTGGCAAGATAAAAGTTTTTTTCCTGAAGCTATTTTTTTTCCTGAAACCTCACATTTTATTATTGGCAACAAATTATGTGAGTTGTTTTATTCAAGTAACATGTTCATTTTAAAAAATTATAAATAGGTATGGCAGATAAACCAAGACAATAGCTTTTCAGTTGCTCTTAAATGCAAAAAAACTTTTTTGAAACTAGTCAGTTCAACTCACAACTTAAACAAATGCACGAATGATTTTCCCAAAGCTCATCATTCTTGACTATGCAACAGAATCACTTTGCACATACTTTTCATTTTATCACATGGATTGTTAAAAATGTGTGTATACCAACATAGAGAAACCCCGTCTCTACTAAAAATACAAAATTAGCCAGGCGTGGTGGTGCATGCCTGTAATCCCAGCTACTTGGGAGGCTGAGGCAGGAGAATCACTTGAACTCAGGAGGTGGAGGTTGCGGTGAGCCAAGATCATGCCATTGCACTCCAGCCTGGGCAACAAGAGCTAAACCCCGTCTCAAAAAAAAAAAAAAAAAATAGTGTGTATATAAGTGTTGAGATCTAATTAAATCAATGATATTTACTATCTCATCAAGGACATTCTTAACTGAAATCCAGTTTCACTTCCTTCTTTTACTGTGAGTGCAGATGGTGAGGGATACAACAGCTAGCATTGGGTACAGCCTTGATTACTACTAAGGTATTGGAAGTTTTACCCAGCATTGATTTGTTCCATTAGCACAAATGTTTACACAGTACAAAAGGCAAATATCTTAGTATCATTATGAAAATAGATATGACTTCTTGGACCCTGTAAAAAGGTCTCTCAAAGACCTCATGTTGAAAACTAGGGATGAAAAAGATAAAATCATAGTGTAGAGTCTTAAATTTGTTTCTTTATGTATTTTCTTTCTTTCCTCAGAATGCAAACTCCAGAAAAGCAGTCGCTGTTTCTATATTGTTTTTCTTGTATCTTAGCACTTAATACTAGAGGCAGATTAATTGAATATGTAGCTATCTATAATATCTATAGTGTTTATATATGTTAAGTGTTTATATATAAGTTAATGTATTTGTAAGGTTTCATGTTTTATGTATTCGGTCAATAATAGTTAAAACCTATTTTGATAAAACATGTTAGAAGGAAGAATATATTTTTCTACATAAAGTTATAAAATTACTGCCATTTGCTATTTAAGATACAATTAAAGGATCTGCAGCCGAAATACACAGGAAAAAATGTTTTAGGAATGTGTTATGCAATTATTTAATGAAAATGTTGTTTTATTCTGATTTGTTTTCAAATTTGTATTTTTATTCTCTTATTCTAAACAAGTATTTTTTGTACCTAATTTTGTATTCTTGTTGTTAAACAACCTCCCCTCTCAGTTGTATAAGCTTCAAGACTTCAAAACCTAGATCTACTTCTGCATAAAGTAATATCTCACAAACAGTAAGTACTGTTCACTAAGTACTGATTGATTGAGTTAATGGATCTATTCAAGTCTTGTAGTAAAACCTAAATGCCTAATCGAGCTTTACAAATTTTTATTTGGACCAAGCAGTCCAAATAAGGGACAAATTATATAATGATGATGGATAACAAACAAAACCACTTTATATATTTCAAGAAGAATAATCTTTATACTAAAAAGAATAAATATTGAAAAGGGACAACTGTCATCCAAGATAGGAATAGGAGATAAACTGTAAAGAACACAGAGTTGATCAACACTTGCTGTAGTTTCAATCATGCACCCCCACCCCACCCTCCACAAGGTCTGAAAGCCCTAACCTGCAATTGGCAACAGCTCTTGATATTTACGGACCAAATTCCCTCACTGGGAATCACCACTGATAAAATTTGCACTGTTCAGCTTTACCAAACCAAAGCCCATATGTATTCCACTAAAACAAAGTATTTACCTCTGGGCATTGTATATTAGGAAACAAAGTGAAAAAAAATTAGTAGAAATGATTGACAAGGAGAGCCAAGAAATTATCTCATATGAAAAAAGAATAGAGTACTTGGGTTTTAAGGAAAACATACATAAAAGATATGGGAAAAGGCATTAATCAAGGATTAGTGAAATTCACATTAAACCATAGCAATAAATTCTGGAAGATCAAGGCCCCAAGTGAGATATGACTTACTCCCACCCTCAATACACCATGAAACATGTGATAGCCATTTTCATATACTGAATATGAATATCAAGAGAGAGATAGATCCTATTTATCTAGTCAAAGAAAAGACTCTAGTGGCAAATGAGGGACTAATTCACGGATTTAAAGGCATGCAGTGTAGAAGAATTAGATTTATGTAACCCAGAGGTTAGATTTTGAGCTATGGTAAAGAAGCCACAGAAAGACACAAGAAAAGGCATTTTTTAATTTCTCACTCTTTGTATTTGATTCTCTAATTTCAAAGTTAACTTTAAAAAATACATAAAAAATTTCAAGCATCCTAAATTACACAAAATTTGATATTTTTGTATTTATCCTGTCTTTTCTTATAAACATTTAATTTTCATTTTTAAAAAAAGTGCTTATAAACCTACACTAGGTATGTTATATGGTGGGAGAGTTTCAATGACTATATGGAAGGTTGGGCCAGGTTATGTTGATAATCCTTACCAAACCTTACATTCTAGGGTTCTTTTTAATAAATTATAGTTTTTATTTCCTGCATTGGTAAATACTACTATGAAAGTTTTCAGACAAATGACCAATTAAAAAGAGGTCCAATTTTAATAGCCTTAGTTATTAAAATTTTTATCCTGTTTATACACATATGCCTACATTCACTTGCACAAACACACACATATACACACACTCTCATATATTTAATCAAAAGTTATTATAGCAGCTGATATTAAGGGCCAGTATTCTAGGAAGGTAAACTAGTGGAACTTTTCAATTGAGTTTCTATGTAGTGTCTCTGAGAAGTGAGAATGTTACAGATTTAGGAGAAGCCTCTGTTACATGAGATGAAAATATTTTGGCATTACCGCTTCCTGTGTTTGACAATTCTTAAAGTCTGTTATCTAAGTGAATAGATTCAAGCTTCCTATGAGGTGATTTTGTCCTAAAAGATATTCTCAGGGAGGTTACAAGATGGCCGAATAGGAAGAGCTCCAGTCTACAGCTCCCAGCGTGAGCGACACAGAAGACAGATGATTTCTGCATCTACAACTGAGGTACCAGGTTCATCTCACTGGGGCTTGTCGGACAGTGGGTGCAGCCCACGGAGCAGGGTGGTGCATCACCTCAACTGGGAAGTGCAAGGGGTCAGGGGATTCCCTTTCCTAGCCAAGGGAGGCCGTGACAGACGGTACCTGGAAAATTGGGACACCCCCACCCTAATACTGCACTTTTCCAATGGCCTTAGCAAGCGGCACACGAGGAGATTATATCCTGTGCCTGGCTCTGAGGGTCCCATGCTCACAGAGCCTTGCTCACTGCTACCACAGCAGTCTAAGATAAAACTGCAAGGTGGCAGCAAGACTGGAGGAGGGGCATCCGCCATTGCTGAGGCTTGAGTAGGTAAACAAAGCAGCCCGGAAGCTCGAACTGGGTGGAGCCCACCACAGCTCAAGGAGGCCTGCTTGCCTGTGTAGACTCCACCTCTGGGAGTAGGGCATAGCTGAACAAAAGGCAGCAGAAACTTCTGCAGACTTAAACATCCCTGTCTGACAGCTTTGAAAAGAGTAGTGGTTCTCCCAACAGGGAGTTTGAGATCTGAGAACACACAGACTGCCTCCTCAGGTGGGTCTCTGAACCCCGAGTAGCCTAACTGGGAGACACCTCCCAGTAGGGGCCATCTGACACCTCATACGGCCTGGTGCCCCTCTGAGACAAAGCTTCCAGAGGAAGGATCAGGCAGCAACATTTGCCATTCTGCAATATTTGCTGTTCTGCAGCCTCCGCTGGTGATACCCAGGCAAAGAGGGTCTGGAGTAGACCTCCAGCAAACTCCAACAGACCTGCAGCTGAGGGTCCTGACTGTTAGAAGGAAAACTAACAAAAAGGACATCCACACCAAAACCCCATCTGTACATCACTATCATCAAAGACCAAAGGTAGATAAAACCACAAAGATGGGGAGAGACCAGAGCAGAAAAGCTGAAAATTCTAAAAATCAGAGCATGCCTCTTCTCCTCCAAAGGAACGCAGCTCCTCACCAGCAATGGAACAAAGCTGGGTGGAGAATGACTTTGATGAGTTGAGAGAAGAAGGCTTCAGACGATCAGTAATAACAAACTTCTCCAAGCTAAAGGAGGATGTTCAAACCCATTGCAAAGAAGCTAAAAACCTTGAAAAAAGATTAGATGAATGGCTAACTAGAATAAACAGTGTAGAGAAGTCCTTAAATGACCTGATGGAGCTGAAAACCATGGCACTAGAACTACGTGATGCATGCACAAGCTTCAGTAGCTGATTTGATCAAGTGGAAGAAAGAGTATCAGTGATTGAAGATCAAATGAATTAAATGAAGTGAGAAGAGAAGTTTAGAGAAAAAAGAGTAAAAAGAAATGAACAAAGCCTCCAAGAAATATGGGACTATGTGAAAAGATCAAATCTACGTCTGATTGATGTATCTGCAAGTGACGGGGAGAATGGAACCAAGTTGGAAAACACTCTGCAGGATATTATCCAGGAGAACTTCCCCAACCTAGCAAGGCAGGCCAACATGCAAATTCAGGAAATACAGAGAACACCACAAAGATACTCCTCGAGAAGAGCAACTCCGAGACACATAAGTGTCAGATTCACCAAAGTTGAAATGAAGGAAAAAATGTTAAGGGCAGCCAGAGAGAAAGGTCAGGTTACCCACAAAGGGAAGCTCATCAGACTAACAGCAGATCTTTCAGCAGAAACTCTACAAGCCAGAAGAGTGTGGGGGCCAATATTCAACATTCTTAAAGACAAGAATTTTCGGCCGGGTGCAGTGGCTCACGCCTGTAATCCCAGCACTTTGGGAGGCCGAGGCAGGTGGATTACGAGGTCAGGAGAGCGAGACCATCCTGGCTAACACGGTGAAACCCCGTCTCTACTAAAAATACAAACAATTAGCTGGGCGTGGTGGTGGGCACCTGTAGTCCCAGCTACTCGGGAGGCTGAGGCAGGAGAATGGCATGAACCCAGAAGGCAGAGCTTGCAGTGAGCCGAGATTGCGCCACCACACTCCAGCCTGGGTGACAGAGTGAGACTCCGTACCCTCTCCCCCACAAAAAAAGAAAGACAAGAATTTTCAACACAGAATTTCATATCCAGCCAAACTAAGCTTCATAAGTGAAGGAGAAATAACATCCTTTGCAGACAGACAAATGCTGAGAGATTTTGTCACCACCAGGCCTGCCTTACAAGAGCTCCTGAAGGAAGCACTAAACATGGAAAGGAACAACCGGTACCAGCCACTGAAAAAATGTGCTAAATTGTAAAGACCATCGAGGCTAGGAAGAAACTGCATCAACTAACGAGCAAAATAACCAGCTAACATCATAATGACAGGATCAATTTCATACATAACATATTAACCTTAAGTGTAAATGGGCTAAATACTCCAATTAAAAGACACAGACTGGCAAATTTGATAAAAAGTCAAGATCCATCAGTGTGCTGTATTCAGGAGACCCATCTCACATGCAGAGATACACACAGGCTCAAAATAAAGGGATGGAGGAAGATCTACCAAGCAAATGGAAAACAAAAAAAAGCAGGGGTTGCAATCCTAGTCTCTGAAAAAACAGACTATAAACCAACAAAGATCAAAAGAGACAAGGCCATTACATAATGGTAAAGGGATCAATTCAACAAGAAGAACTAACTATCCTGAATACATATGCACCCAACACAGGAGTACCCAGATTCATAAAGCAAGTCCTTAGAGACCTACAAAGAAACTTAGACTCCCACACAATAATAATGGGAGATTTTAACAGCTCACTGTCAACATTAGACAGATCAACGAGACAGAAAGTTAACAAGGATATCCAGGAATTGAACTCAGCTCTGCACCAAGCAGACCTAATAGACATCTACAGAACTCTCCACCCCAAATCAACAGAACATACATTCTTCTCAGCACCACATCACACCTATTCCAAAATTGACCACATAGTTGGAAGTAAAGCACTCCTCAGCAAATGTAAAAGAACAGAAATTAGAACAAACTGTCTCTCAGACCACAGTGCAATCAAACTGAACTCAGGATTAAGAAACTCACTCAAAACCACTTAACTACATGGAAACTGAACAACCTCCTCCTGAATGACTACTGGGTACATAACGAAATGAAGGCAGAAATAAAGATGTTCTTTGAAACCAGTGAGAACAAACACATAACATACCAGAATCTCTGGGACACATTCAAATTTATAGAGGGAAATTTATAGCACTAAATGCTCACAAGAGAAAGCAGGAAAGATCTAAAATTGACACCCTAACATCACAATTAATAGAACTAGAGAAGCAGGAGCAAACACATTCAAAAGCTAGCAGAAGGCAAGAAATAACTAAGATCAGAGCAGAACTGCAGGAAATAGAGACACAAAAAACCCTTCAAAAAATCAATGAATCCAGGAGCTGGTTTTTTGAAAAGATCAACAAAATTGATAGACCAAAAGCCAGACTAATAAAGAAGAAAAGAGAGAAGAATCAAATAGACGCAATAAAAAATGATAATGGGGATATCACCACCCATCCCACAGAAATACAAACTGCCATCAGAGAATACTATAAACACTTCTACATAAATAAACTAGAAAATCTAGAAGAAATGGATAAATTCCTGGACACATACACTCTCCCAAGACTAAACCAGGAAGTAGGTGAATCCCTGAATAGACCAATAACAGGCTCTGAAATTGAGGCAATAATTAATAGCCTCTTAACCCAAAAAAGTCCAGGACCAGATGGATTCACAGCTGAATTCTGCCAGAGATACAAAGAGGAGCCGGTACCATTCCTTCTGAAAATATTCCAATCAATAGAAAAAGAGGGAATCCTCCCTAACTCATTTTATGAGGCCAACATCATCCTGATACCAAAGCCTGGCAGAGACACAACAAAAAAAGCGAATTTTAGACCAATATCCCTGACGAACATCGATGCAAAAATCCTCAATAAAATACTGGCAAACTGAATCCAGCAGCACATCAAAAATCTTATCCACCACAATCAAGTTGGCTTCATCCCTGGGACGCAAGGCTGGTTCAACATATGCAAATCAATAAACATAATCCATCATACACACAGAACTAAAGACAAAAACACATGATTATCTCAATAGACGCAGAAAGGCCTTCAACAAAATTCAACAGCCCTTCATGCTAAAAACTCTTAATAAACTAGGTACTGATGGGATGTATCTCAAAATAATAAGAGCTATTTATGACAAACCCACAGCAAATTTCGTACTGAATGGGCAAAAACTGGAAGCATTCCCTTTGAAAACAGGCACAAGACAGGGATGCCCTCTCTCACCATTCCTATTCAACATACTGTTGGATGTTCTGGCCAGGGCAATCAGGCAAGAGAAAGAAATAAAGGGTATTCAATTAGGAAAAGAGGAAGTCAAATTGTCCCTGTTTGCAGATGACATGATTGTATATCTAGAAAACCCCATTGTCTCAGCCCAGTATTTCCTTAAGCTGATAAGCAACTTCAGCAAAGTCTCAGGATACAAAATCAATGTGCAAAAGTCACAAGCTTTCCTATACACCAATAACAGACAAATAGAGAGCCAAATCATGAGTGAACTCTCATTCACAATTGCTTCAAAGCGAACAAAATACCTAGGAATCCAACTTACAAGGGATGAGAAGGACCTCTTCAAGGAGAACTACAAACCACTGCTCAGTGAAATAAAAGAGGATACAAACAAATGGAAGAACATTCCATACTCACGGATAGGAAGAATCAATATTGTGAAAATGGCCATACTGCCCAAGGTAATTTATAGATTCAATGCCATCCCCATCAAGCTACCAATGACTTTCTTCACAGAATTAGAAAAAACTACTTTAAAGTTCATATGGAACCAAAAAAGAGCCTGCATTGCCAAGACAATCCTAAGCCAAAAGAACAAAGCTGGAGGCTTCATGCTACCTGACTTCAAACTGTACTACAAGGCTACAGTAACAAAACAGCATGGTACTGGTACAAAAACAGAGATATAGACCAATGGAACAGAACAGAGCCCTTGGAAATAATACCACACATCTACAACCATCTGATCTTTGACAAACCTGACAAAAACAAGAAATGGGGAAAGGATTCCCTATTTAATAAATGGTGCTAAGAAAACTGGCTAGCCATATGTAGAAAGCTGAAACTGGATCCCTTCCTTACACCTTATACAAAAATTAATTCAAGATGGATTAAAGACTTAAATGTAAGACCTAAAACCATAAAAACCCTAGAAGAAAACCTAGGCAATATCATTCAGGACATAGGCATGGGCAAGGACTTAATGACTAAAACATCAAAAGCAATGGCAACAAAAGCCAAAATAGACAAATGTGATCTAATCAAACTAAAGAGCTGCACAGCAAAAGAAACTACCATCAGAGTGAACAGGCAACCTACAGAATGGGAGAAATTTTTTGCAATCTACCCATCTGACAAAGGGCTAATATCCAGAATCTACAAAGAACTTAAAAAAATTTACAAGAAAAAATCAAACAACCCCATCAAAAAGTGGGCAAAGGTTATGAACAGATGCTTCTCAAAAGAAGACATTTATGGAGCCAACAGACACATGAAAAAATGCTCATCATCACTGGCCATCAGAGAAATGCAAATCAAAATCACAATGAGATACCATCTCACACAAGTTAGAATGGCGATCATTAAAACGTCAGGAAACAACAGGTGCTGGAGAGGATGTAGAGAAATAGGAACACTTTTACACTGTTGGTGGGACTGTAAACTAGTTCAACCATTGTGGAAGTCAGCGTGGCGATTCCTCAGGGATCTAGAACTAGAAATACCATTTGACCCAGCCATCCCATTACTGGGCATATACCCAAAGGATTACAAATCATGCTTCTATAAAGACACATGCATATGTATGTTTATTGCGGCACTATTCACATTAGCAAAGACTTGAAACCAACCCAAATGTCCATCAGTGATAGACTGGATTAAGAAAATGTGGCACATATACACCATGGAATACTATGCAGCCATAAAAATGAATGAGTTCATGTCCTCTGTAGGAAGATGGATGAAGCTGGAAACTATTATTCTGAGCAAACTATCACAAGGACAGAAAAGCAAACACCGCTTGTTCTCACTCATAGGTGGGAATTGAACAATGAGAACACTTGGACACAGGGAGGGGAACATCACACACTGGGGCCTGTCGTAGGGTCAGGGGAGGGGGAGGGATAGCATTAGGAGATATACCTAATGTAAATGATGAGTTAATGGGTGCAGCACACCAACATAGCATGTGTATACATATGTAACAGACCTGCATGTTGTGCACATGTACCCTAAAACTTAAGGTATAATTTAAAAAAAAAGATATTATCTACTTGTCCCATAGCAATGTCCACAACATACTTCCTCAGACTACCACATATTTTTCTTTCTCTCTCGGCATATAAACTAATTCTTCACTTATCATTATAGCCATTATATTTATGAGTCATCATTAAATATGTTTTCAACTTTATAACATTTTCTGTTTTTGTTAACTTAAAAATTCCCTTCCTAAACACCTTTTAAGTATACTTGAGAAAGAAAGTCATCTATGAACATTGCCTCCATTCTCTTCCTCCGCCAATCCCGTCTCACAGAATGAATCAGGTGCACAGATTACAACAGAAAACTGACAAATTCAGCTCTACAAACAAAACTGCCCTGAAAAAAAAATTTATTATTAGCTAAATGCTAGTTCCATGACACTTGAAGGAAGAATGGATATGATTTGTCTGGACATTAATTTGTTCCACACTGTAGACTTATGTTTTAAAGAATTATTTTAAAGTGAATTCAATTGAACAAATGAAGGAGGCTTTCTTTGACTACCACAGCTATTTGCTCTTACATTTTCCCTTTTCACTGACCCTACTTTGTCTGCAGTTAGTTTATTTCCTTATAATTAATTTACTTTGAAATCTGGTAGGTATTACTCTGCAAGGCCCTGCAAGGATGCCTCTTTGCCCCAAATACTGTGACTATTTCTATCAACACCAAAAGTTTCAAGAAATTTAAATTTGCTTTTTACCTGGAGGAAATTTTATAATGACAAATTTAGATCTGTAATTGTCTACATGGTATGTTGAGTTCTTTTTCTTAGAAATCTTTTTTGCCTAAATATAGATTAAGGTTTTGAAAAAAAATGAGTGACATTCCACACAATTATAATTAGAACAGTAAGTGTGCAAGAATACCTATCTGGCAAGAAAGCAAATGAACTGTTGGAGAATCTGAATTTAGAAAATTTTTGTAGCTCAAAAATAGGAAAAATAATTTTTCGAGTCAGTCCTTACATCAAGTGCCATA
The DNA here is from genome assembly GCF_000001405.40 of Homo sapiens. Taxonomy (NCBI): domain Eukaryota; kingdom Metazoa; phylum Chordata; class Mammalia; order Primates; family Hominidae; genus Homo; species Homo sapiens. The sequence continues at coordinate 76,349,728 of NC_000013.11, forward strand.
TTTTCTTAATTTGGGGATAACATTCTTATTTGGGGTGGTTACATTCTTATTAGCTACAACGTTGCTTCTGAATTTAAGATATTATACAGGGTCAGAACTGGCATAGCACCAAAATTCACATTCTAATCATACTTCTCTCATGGGGCTTTGACCACATAATCTGACCATTCTAAGTTTCATTATTTGTCATCTGAAATATATGGGGACTCTACTAGGTGACCTGTAAGGGTTCCTTTCCACTCTATTGTTACATGATTTTAAGAGGATATGTCTCTTATAGATTAAATTGGACAAAAGTAGGCTGACAATAGTGATTGAATGACAGAAAAAAATTGAAGAGAGGGAGGATAAGGATAAAGGAAATGTGAGAATAACAATCTGATTGTATACTTAGAAATGACTTTTTTTTTTTATTATACTTTAAGTTCTGGGGTACCTGTGCAGAACGTGCAGGTTTGTTACATTGGTATACATGTGCCATGGTGGTTTGCTGCACCCATCGACTCGTCATCTACATTAGGTATTTCTCCTAATGCTATCTTTCCCCAGCCCCCCAACCCCCAACAGACCCCAACACACAGGGTGTGTGATCTTCCCCTCCCTATCTCCCATGTGTTCTCATGTTCAACTCCCACTTATGAGTGAGAACATGCAGTGTTTGGTTTCTGTTCATAAAACCTTGAACTACTGCTTTCAAGTTCTTAGCAGAAAATAGAAAGAGATGCTCCTGTAACACCCCATGCTTACCCAAGTCATAGAATCTATCACAATTTTTAACACAGTACAATAAACATTCCATGTTATAATTTGCTTTCCTTATCTCTTTTTTGTGTATAAACTTCTTGGAGTGGCGGGAAGGGGGCCAGGAATGCAGAAGGTATTGCAGTTTCTTCATCATTGATTTCCCAACACTTAGTACTGGGCTTGACACATAGTAATTGCTCTGTAAATATTTGTTGAATGTAAGAATTTTCTCTCTTATCTTCTGTATTAATATCATTTTAACTCCTTTTTTTGATATTGTTTCAGGCATCACTGAACTGAGCACATCAACTCACTTATGGAGTCAGAGAAGGGATGAGCAAACTTCACCCTGCAGTCCAAACTTGCCCCACCATCTGTTTTTGTAAATAAAGTTTTATTGGCATACAGTCACATTCATTTTTTTTACATGCTGTCTAGCACTATTTTTGCTTTACAATGGCAAAGTTGATTAGTTGTGGCAAAGCCTAGTTAGCCTACAAAGCAAGAAATATTTAATTGTTGGTCTAATCGGTAACCCAGAAAAAGGTTACTGATTTCCAGTCTGGAGTTGTAAAAAAAAATCATGGCTAATTAAAATAAGATAACTTTAGCCAACATTAAAAGCCTATTATCCTATGAAGTTAGTTTTGTAAAGATTACAATAAATGTGTGTAGTTAACAAAGAGGTTTCTTTTTCATCATTTGCAAGTCAAAACTTTAGCTTTCTTTGTATATAATCATGAAAATTTTATGTTAAAAAGTACATAGTAATCATCTGGCCTAGGAATATCTATATCTTTCACACAATGCATTTCACTCATCATTTAAAGAAATTTATTCTCTCTGGTTTCCATGATCTGCTGGCTGATATCTGACCTGCACACCAGGACACCCAGCAAGCTTTTCATTATCAGCATCCTCATGCTCAGTTTCTTATTACTTATTTCTCAAGTATGGTATATTTCATGATTAAAGAAGCTAAACAAAAATAACAGAGAAAATTGGCATCACAAGTAGGCTATAATATCCAGGGGAAATAATTTTGTATTTTCTTGCTTGGAAATCACTAAGCAGTTGATAGAAACATCAAAATCCAATATGTGATACTTTTGTTTTTACATCTGGGAACATGGTAAAAGCAGCCCAAATTTTGTTGTACCAATTTTCTTTCTTGATTAAATGACTTACAGAGTGGCACTCAGGAAGGCCAATAAAGACGATCTGTTACTTTTGTTAAAAAATGAGGGAATGACATGCAGAGTCCCTGTATGTTAGCCAGGACATCAGCCAAACTGGACTGGCTCTTACGCTCTGGGCTCCTTACATAAAATGTAACTTGCACATAATAAATGCTGTGAGCTTACTAAGAAAGCAAGGGTAAACATATGAAAATAAACATTTACAAACAAAAAAAGCATAGTCCCCTGTTTACATTTCAGAAAAAAATAATTTTATTTTGAAAATTGTCTGTAGTGGAAAAAGTACATATAAAATGGCTCTCTGAATAAATGCACATTTTTGAATATCTTAGTAGGCCTACTGCTGAATCACTCTATGGATATCGTAAACTATCATGCATGACATATTCATGAGCATCTGAACAACTAAATTATTCAGAAAACAGAAAGGAAAGGAACAGTCTTAATGTTTTTAACAAGAAAGTAAAACTATTAAGTTTATTTGCACCGGGAAATTTCTTGACTTTTGTGGCAGTGCAGGGGCAAAAGTGGGGGGGCGTCAGGTGTTTGAGAATAATTTGCAGGAGAATTCTTAGTGTTAAATATGTAGCTGAAAATAACTTTTCTCACTAAAATACTATTCATAAAATCTTCTATATTTCTGATCTTTCTTTCTAATGAAGGACTTACATGCATTTATTCTACAAAAACTCAGAGTGTTTTCTTTGTAGATAAAAATGTACAGATATGTAAAAATGTAAGAAATATTTATATGCATTCACTTTTGTGTTAGCTGTAAAAGTATCTGTGAGAACATTCTCTACTATATCTCCCAGATCTAATTCCCAGTGACAGATATTTTCCTTGAGTTTAGGATAAAGATAAATTTGTCTTCACTGAGAAACATAATTTTCCTCCCATTATTCTTCAAGGTTGGAGTAATGTTTTATGTTTCTCCCTTCCCCATGTCTCTTGGGAAACTCAAGGCTAAATATTATGGTCAAATATAATAGCTGTATTTTTTTTCCATCTGTTTGTCATGTTAGCTTTTATCTCTTTTTCAAACTTGATTTCTCCCTTGTTCTCCTACCCTCAATTTTGTCTAAAACTTAATTTTATTTTCTTGGCTTTATAGATGCTTTAAATCTCTTTTCTCTATTCAGAGAGTCAATGAGTATTGAACCTAGACAAGTATCGATCAAATACTTTGCTTGTGTGTATTATTTGTCAAGGAATTACTGTTTTCCACTCTGAGACTTCCTTTTCCTTATCAGCTAGATGAATGCCTGCCCATCCCTAAAGGCTGAGCTCAAGAATTTCTCCTTCTGTGCTCCTTTCTCTCATCTATAAAGCAGAGGTGATCACTTTGTAGCAGCACTGCACCTGCCTCTGTGGATTCACTCATCACACAGCATCTTTCTGTTTGCATCTGTCTGTGTTTATAGATTATCAGCCTCTTTCGAGTAATGGCTACACGTCTTTCACGTTTCTATGACCAATATCTAGTCTCTGGTAGGTCAATACCAGACAAGCAGTAGGTATTAACCAATGTGTGTAGATGGTAAAAATAAATTGATGAATTTTAAAATAATGAAAAAATTGAATATTTTGGAAGTGTTTATAATAGTAAATACACTGATTGGCAAGCATCCGTTGTGTTCCCCCTGAATAACGTCATACTGTGAGTTTTTAGGGGACAGGAGGAGGACATAATAGTACTTACTCGGCTAGGGATACAAAATTCCAATTTGTGATATTTTCAAGAAATTAACTGTCGTGAGAGGGTCAAAATTAATATGAGTTTAATAGTTAATAATTTTTGAAACGTGGAATGATCTTAACAATACGCATTCTCTGTTGGGTGGTAAAACCGATTAAGCTATGATATGAAGAAAAAACAGCAAAAGTGGTTTATTCAAAGAATGGTAACAAGATCTGTTTGAAAGGCTGGAAAGGTGGGTGATAATTAAAGATCAGTGGACAATATGATTAAGTAGTTGTGTGGATGACCATTAGAAGGTAGGAGTCAGATTATGGGAATGCCCTAAGACTCAGAGAAAGTTATATTTGATGTTAATAGAAAGCTATTGTTCAGTTTTGAACAAGAGATTAACTTGATTAAAAAGTCAATTTGTTGAGAATGGTATAAAGAGTATATTAGAGCCTTATAAACTAGAGAGAGATTATGCAAGAGACATTAGAAATCCAGGTATAGGAAGAAAGAGGCCAAGATTAGAGTGTTTACAACCCAAATTGAGCAAAAATATCGATCTGGAAAATGTTTCAAGGCAAAAATCATGAGCCATATTAGATGATATGGTGTGGGTGAATAATAATCCTACTTAAAAGTCAAAACCTCACCATATAAATATTGAAAATTAATAAATTCGATATATGCTATTCCAGTGTTAGCCTTGAATACCATAAATCAGTAAAGGAAATGTAATTCCCTGATGTTCAACGATGCTAGACATCGATCTTTTCCTGTAATTGTTTGACATGAAGGATAATTCGCACTCATTATTTTAATATTGATTATTTGTAAAGCTGTAGTTTATAGACTTTGCAAGTGATTATAACAGAATTGTTCATCTGCGCATAATATACCCACCCAAGAAAGGGTTTATGCTCATCTACTGAGGTTGCCATAATAAAACATCACATACGGGGAAACTAAACAAAAACTTATTTTCTCACAGTTCTAGATGGTGGAAGTCCGAGATCAAGATGTTAGCAGGTATTGTTTCTCCTGAGACTTTTCTCCTTTGTTTGTAGATGGTCTCTCCACTGTGTGTGCATGCACCTTTCATGTCTCTTCCTTTCTTACAAAGACACAAGTCTATTGGATCCTCATTTTAACTTAACCTTCTCTTTAAAGACTTTCTCTTCCAATATCGTTACACTATGAGGTACTGGGGATTGGGATTTCAATGTATGAATTTTAAGTAGACATCACTCAGCCAATAACAAGATTTATGGCAGATTTTTTAAACACAATATTTGATATAGCTTGGCTCTGTGTCGCCACCCAAATTTCATCTTGAATTATAGCTCCTATAATTCCCATGTGTTGTGGGAGGGATCTGGTGGGAGATAATTGAATCATGGAGGTGTTTTTCCCCTATACTGTTCTCATGGTAGTCAATAAGTCTCTTGAGATCTGATGGTTGTATAAGTGGCAACCCCTTTCACTTGACTTTTATTCTCTCTTTGCCAGCTGCCATGAATTTTGTCCCTCTGCTCTTCCTTCATCTTCCACCATGATTGTGAGGCCTCCCGAGCCATGTGGAACTGTGAGTCAATTAAACTTCTTTTCTTTATAAATTACTCAGTCTCCAGTACACAGCATGAAAATGGACTAAGACACTAAATTGGTACCAGTAGAGTGGAGTGCTGCTGTTAAGATACTCGGAAATGTGGAAGCAACTTTGGAACTGGATAACAGACAGAAGCTGTAACAATTTGGAGGGCTCAGAAGAAGACGGGAAAATTTAGGAAAGTTTGGAACTTCCTAGAGCCTTGTTGAATGGCTTTGACCAAAATGCTGATAACTATCGACTATGAAATCCAGACTGAGGTAGTCTCAGATGGAGATGAGGAACTTGTTAGGAACTGGAGTAAACATGACTCTTGCTATGCTTTAGCAGAGACTGGTGGCATTTTGCTCCTGCCCTAGAGATTTGTGGGACTTCAAACTTGAGGGAAATGATTTAGGGTATCTGATGGAAGAAATTTCTAAGCAGCAAAGCCTTCAAGAGGTTACTTGGATGCTGTTAAAAGGATTCAGTTTTAAAAGGGAAACAGAGCATAAAAGTTCAGAAAATTTGCAGCTTGATGATGCAGTAGGAAAGAAAACCCCATTTTCTGAGGAGAAATTCAAGCTGGCTGCAGAAATCTGTGTAAGTAATGAGGAGCCAAATATTAATCACCAAGGCAATGGCGAAAATGTCTCCAGGACATGTCAGAGACTTTTGTGGCAGCCCCTTGCACCACAGGCACTGAGGCCTAGAAGGAAAAAATGGTTTCTTGGGCCGGGACCAAGCCCCCCTCTACTGTGTCCAGCCTAGGGAATTGGTGCCCTGCCTCCCAGCTACTCTAGCCATGGCTAAAAGGGGCCAAGGTATAGCTTGGGCTGTGGCTTCAGAGTGTGCAAGCCCCAGGTCTTGGAAGGTTCCAGGTGGTATTGAGCCTGCAGGTGCACAGAAGTCAAGAACTGAGGTTTAGGAACCTCTGCCTAAATTTCAGAGGATATATGGAAACACCTGGATGTCCAGGCAGAAGTTTAATGCAGGGGCAGGGTTCTCAAGGAAAACCTCTGCTAGGGCAGTGCAGAAGGAAAACATGGGGTCAGAGGCCCCACACAGAGTCCCTACTGGGGCACTAGTGGAGTCCCTAGTGGAACTGTGAGAAGAGGGCCACTGTCCGACCCCAGAATGGCAGATCTACCAACACCTTGCACTGTTCACCTAGAAAAGCCACACACACTCAACACCAACTCATGAAAGCAGCCAAGAAGGTGGTTGCACCCTGCAAAGCCACAGGGGTGGTGTTGCCCAAGACCATGGGAATCCACCTCTTGCATCAGTGTGACATGGATGTGAGATATGGAGTCAAAGGAGATCATTTTGGAGCTTCAAGTTTTGACTGCCCTGCTGGATTTTGAACTTGCATGGAGCCTTGGCCCCTGCATTTTGGCCAATTTCTCCCATTTGGAATGGCTGTATTTACCCAATGCATGTAACCCCATCGTATTTAGGAAGTAACTAACTTGCTTTTGATTTTACAGGCTCATAGGTGGAAGGGATTTGCCTTATCTCAGATGAGACTTTAGATTGTGGACTTTTGAGTTAATACTGAAATGAGTTAAGACTTTGGGGGACTGTTAGGAAGGCATGATTGGTTTTGAAATGTGAGAGCATGAGATTTGGAGGGACCAGGGGCAGAATGATATGGTTTGGCTCTGTGTCCCCACCCAAATCTCATATTGAGTTGTAGCTCCCATAATTCCCACATGTTGTGGGAGGGATCTGGTGGGAGATAATTGAATCATGCAGACAGTTTTCCCCATAATGTTCTCATGGTAGTGAATAAGTCTCATGAGAGCTCATGGTTTTATAAGGGGAAATCCTTTTTGCTTGGCCCTCTTTCTCTCTCTTTGCTGGCTGCCATGAAAAATATCCCTTTGCTCTTCCTTTGTCTTCTACCATGATTGTGAGGCCTCCCCAGCCATGTGGAACTGTGAGTCAATTAAACTTCTTTTCTTTGTAAATTACCCAGTCATGGGTATGCAGTGTGAAAATGGACTAATACAATAATCTATATTTTATTACTTCTTTGATGGTTCCAATACCTATTAAACGTTTCTTCGTGTGATATAAAATTGCTTTCTAAAATCCGAAGAACCTCAGAAAATATGCTTATGTAATTCATATAATTTTGTTATTTTCCCTCCTCTGCATGAGCTAATAATTTAAATTCCTTGAGTTTACAAATTTTTGACTTCTAAATTGGCCCATATTTTATCTTCTCTTTCTATAATAGCTAGAAAATAAGTGGTCCCACGTACATGTTTAGATTCTAATCATACTTTTCTGAAAATCTTTTACAAAAAATAGACTGCTTTCTTTGATGTGTGAGCTTGGGCTGTTACTTAATTTTTCTGCACCTCAGTCTTCTACTCTTTGAGGTAGAATAAAAATATTTACCTCATAATTTCTGTAAAAACCAACTAAGATCCTATGTGGGAAGATACATGCAGAGGCTGCTTTCTCACTTTATGCCCTCACTCCCTCTCCTTAAATATAAGAACAACCTGTTCTCAAGTAGCTCAAAATCCAGTAGCTCAAGATCTCTGTTAAAATCATTGTTTATTGTACTGTTAGAGATTGTGATTTCTCATAACTTTTGAGTTTTGTATGGTTGTTTGTTGCCTAATTAAATGTCCCAGATTACTTTGTATTTCTAAAATATCTTATATCTGTTTTTAATTTTTCTTCTATTGCTTGTGCCACATCAGTTTACCAGCCATCACTTTTTATTAAAATCAGTGAAACTTCTTCTATCAGCCTTCCTCACTTTAATTTACTGTTCCAAATAACCTGTGAGCTGGAAAATCAGATAATCAAGTCTATTGGAATTTGAGCAGATGTAGGAGAGTAGGAGTTATCAAGTCTCAACCTTGGATTTGGGTCTATGCTGGGTTATTTTTATGTCATTTAATCCTCATAACAGCCCAAGGAGGGGGTACTATTATTACTGTCATTTTGCAGATGAGGACACTGAGACTTCAGGAAATAATTTACTAAAAGATAAAAATGTAGGAAAGAATAAAGTCAGCAGCTGAAATCAGATCTTCCAATACCAGGTTCAATACCACTACACCATATACCCCGAAGTGAGATATTCCTTTAATGAATTCCTAAGGGCCCCAGGCTTGTTGCACCATATTAATTTATTTATGATTTTTTATTATAGCACTTCTCTCAAAGATTGTAAGAACTGTTATGACATTTAATTAGACATCATAACACTAGTTCTCTGCCAATTTATATATAATAAAATTTCATAAGGTAAAAATATTACTCAAGGAAATCTTGTTCAACAATAATCATAGAAAACAGCTGATGTTCATTGAGTGATGTGTCTCTGTTCTATGTTCTTTACCTTTACTTACATGTGTCACCATATTCAATCTTCACCATCATCTGTGAGTTCAATACTGTTACTATACCTATTTTACAGGTAAAGAAACAAGTTTTGAGTAGTTAGTAATTTTCCGGTATTCAAATCCCGTCAGGTGAAACTAGTAGGAGAATCAAAACCAGAGAAGCTTCCTTTAGCACTCAACACTGAAAACAGAACATTTCAAAAGTGGTACTCATTATTTATTAATGGTTTGGGTTCACTGAACAAAACATATCTTACCTTGACAGAAATCAGTCTCAGGACCCCAGAAGTGATTATATAAGGCTGTGGGTCAAACCAGAAGTCTGGGGGATGAAACCTACATATTTATTGGAATTTTATTAATAAGTAACCCAAATTCACAGATTTCTACTGTTATCCCTAGAATTGTTGGTCAGGCCTAAATTTAACCCCTGTGCTTTCCTTATGGAAGAAGACTTCCAAGGCTCAATCTGTTTTCTGCACTCTGTGGTTGCTTCCTGCAATAATTCTATCTTATTTTGTGGGGTTAGAGGAGTCCTACCATTCTCCATAACTACTCCCCTCTTCCCTTTTTGCTTTTAAGGTCATCAAACATTTGAAATTCTGGTGCACAAGTCATCTTACCTTTTCCACTTTCTGCCTACATCATTGAGGACTCAAGTTCTCAACTGGAGCAGAATGGATGAATAAACAAAGGTTTCTTTATATTTACAAATTTAGCCATCCTAATCTTCACCAAACCAAAACAATACCTATTTATTTCTTACTTCCAATTCGTAACCATAGCTCACTACCTTCCCAATTCTGTTATTATCTCATCTCTACTATACTGGCTTCTCTATCTTATAAAACCTTGCTCCATGCTCTCCTTTTTCTCCAAGGCTATTCCCAGTCCCCAACTCTTTCCTTTCACCTCATATCCTCAACCCATTCTTCCCTCATTTTCTTCTCCATTCAATCTAGACCCTACAGACCAACATTCCATTCTTAAAATATCTCTGTCCCATCACTGAAATCAGCTTCACAGAGTCTCTCCTCTGCTTTAATACCAACAATTGTTTCCTTTCCTATTTCTTGACTGCAAACAGAGAAAAGCTGAAAGCAGCATAGCTGAGTACAATGACAAATGTACCATCATCATCCTCAGCCTTTGCTAAATGTTTTCTCCTATGCTTCACAATGGCCATTTTCAGATATTCACTGTTACCTTCAAGCCTTCAAAGCCTGTTGACTTTCAACAGTCACACTGTATTCTATTTCCAGAAAAAAAGAGAAGTTACTAGGAATGAATAACACATCCATCTTAATTTTCTTTTCTAATGTCTCAGAGAAAAAGATATATCTACTCATAACCAGTCAGTTCTTCTACCTAGGTTGAGATTCACTTTCCCTCTCATAATAATCTTGCTCCATCAATAATCTAATTTGTCAACTAAATCTTCAACCTGTTTACAGAACTGAAGGCCACAGTCTATACAGTGGTGATTTCCCACCAAGCATCACTGTCTCCACTAGCATTTTCCTCCAGATGAATGCTGTCTGTCATTGTTGCTATCCTGAACCAAGTCTTCCAAAATGGCCAAAACCTCATGGCACCAAGACATCTACATGCATAAGTGTCTGTGTGTGTGTGTTTTGTGTGTGTGTGTGTGTGTGTGTGAGATAGAGAGAGGGAGAGAGAGTGGGAGAAGGGGGAAGAAAGTGAGGGACACATCTTAGTTTTCTGCTTATTCCTTTTCTTTTGGCCCCAAGGGGTATTTTAAACCAAAGACCAAACCCCCGAGTCCAAAGATTTCATTTGCAACAGAAGTAAATAAATGGCAAAACTGCCATCAAGAAATAGGTCCTAAATGTGTAGAACAGATAAATTGACCTAATAATTTTGCCACCCACTATACTTGTAAAAAACCTCATGCCTAGTTTAAATGTACAGTTTTCTAAATAAAAGTCTAGAAGGCCTCAAATATCTTTTTATGTTTTGTTTTTATCATCAAATGCATTTATAAAGTAGACACATAAAATTTTACCAAATGTATTTTTAAAACAGTGGGATAAAGGGGTTATATACCTAAAAAGTCTGGTTATAAATAAATAAATAAACCCACTCATGAGCACATGTCATTTTATGCTGAAATAAGTGTGCTAAAAGCAATAATGAATATATGTAGTATGCTTAGAAATTCCCTGTAAAATATTTAAAAGTTTAAGAGTTGCCATATTGAACTCATTATAATCTGTCCATCAGAGAAAAAAGTTGGCATTTTCTTTCACAGCCATGGAAATGGTCATTTTCAGCAGAAATTTCATGATAGAAGCCTCAAGTAATAAAATAAAATTACCAATAAAATCATTCAGGGTGATTTTTCAGATGCTCTCGTAGCTCCATTGAGTAGGAGCAGGGGTACAGGATGCATACAACTCCATAAAAACAGCACTTCCTTTCCTCTGGCTTAAGAATCAAGATGGAATTTTTGTTTGGCTTCCTTCAAGTAAAACCAAGCATAAAATATAATAGTTATGAATGTCAGCAAAAAGCAGAGAAATAGATATTAAGTGACAAAAAGATTCTGATTTCTAGAACCATAAGCAAGGGAGTTTAGAGTGACAAAATAAAATCAGAAGAGTATGTCAATGTGTATGTTGAGTGTGGGTAGTGCTTCCTTTGACAAGAATGCTCTAGAATCACAGTGGGAGGCAGCCTTCCAGCACTGAGGTTTGAAAGAGGTTACATCTTGAGAAGCTGCAAGCAGAACTGGATATCCCTGTACATGCAGGATAAGAAAAAATGGCCTGGCCCATGAGGAGCAAATTCTGAGTTAAAACCATTTCTGCCACTTGCAAAAAATTTCCTTCCATCTCTTTGCTTTTTATTTCAAATCTCAACTGCACTCTCCATTTCACTAGGAAATCTGGAAGTCACTTTGGTTGAGGAAGGAGTGGAAAGGACAGGAAGAACAGATATTAAACTTGGAGAGTATGTGGAGCATGGGCAAGGGAATCTGCCTATGGGGCGGTCAGGAAGCCATCTAGAAACCCAGGCCCACTGAGGACCATGCTTTACCCCCCGACCTTGCCAGAAGCATCCCTAGCAACAGAGAGGAGGTAAGGGGCACACACAGCTGGGTCAAGGAGTGCGTGAGCAGAAGGACAACTTACCAATGTGATAAAATATGCCCTTGGCCATTTCATCAAATGACATTGGCAAATGTTATCACCTCTCCTTCCATACATTTGTTAAAAAAAAATGCTACACTCCCTTCCCATCAAATTAAATTGGGAAAATAATTGATAACGTGCTTTTCATGATTGCCATCCAATTCTGAGGAAGTTTCCATATAAATAGAAGTTAAGGTTATTACGATTCCAGTTGCCCAGGTTTCGTTATAAAGTTCAGAAATTTTGCTAGGAGCACTGGGGTAAGGTGGTTTTGAAAAGCATCCTGAATACTTCAGACTTCCCCTGGAGCAGGCTTTGGAAAATATTTTTGCTTCCCTCTGTACTTTCTTCATTTTCCTGACACCAAAATGAACTTTGAAAATGATGGCATCTGCTGTCCCCTCATCAAAAGGTGGGGCTCCAGACCATCTGTGTGACATTTTGCTAAAATAAGGAAATTTGATTTTAAAATTTGTTGCTAAATGTTTAAAAAAAATCCCCTGCAAAGGTTAAAACCATAGTGAGGGACATCCTGGTGGCTAAAATTAGGCTTGTTCCTATTAGCAAAGGCCAGGGCCTGCAGTGGGGAAATGTGGAGCCACCTTTGTTGAAAACATCCTGACCTTTTTGTCATTGCTGGATTCCTATGGAGCAACAGGCATGTGTCCTGCTTTCAGTTACATGTTGCCCTCTTCTGTGCTATCTTAATTTAATGATTGGTAAGACCATAAAAAATAAAAACTATTGAACTGAGTTCTGTTAATTATATCTTTTTGGAACCTAAAATCTTTTTTAAAGATTTTAAAATAAAAATACATAATCCCTGGTAATATGTTAGTGGTGTGTGTGTGTGTTTGTGTGTGTGTGTGTGTGTGTGTGTGTGTCATAGCTAGAAATAAAAGTAGAGCAGCTTCTTTGAGCCATTCCCTTTGAGCAACTTAAAACCTGGGAAAATAACTTCAGCTCTTTCTCACCTACTTTATATCTCTCCTTCTCAAGGTGCAGGAAGCTGCACAAGCTAGAAAACTGAGAATTTAGAACTCACACTGTTGTGCATTTTTAAAAGTCACTTTTATTTAGTGAAGGGTCTTTAGTCAGTACTGAAGAAACCCAGTTTCTGACTTTTCCTCAATTTCTCCATCTGTTCAAAATAGAGACAAATGGGCCAGGTGCAGTGGCTCACGCCTGTAATCCCAGCACTTTGGGAGGCTGAGGTGGGTGGATCACTAGGTCAGGAGATCCAGATCATCCTGGCCAACATGGTGAAACCCTGTCTCTACTAAAAATACAAAAATTAGCCAGCCATGGTGGTGTGCGCCTGTAGTCCCAGCTACTCAGGAGGCTGAGGCAGGAGAATCGCTTGAACCCGGGAGGTGGAGGTTGCAGTGAGCCGAAGATCATGCCACTGCACTCCAGTCTGGGCAACAGAGTGAGACTCTGTCAAAAAAATAAAAGAGACAAATGAAGAAAAATCACAGAAATAACATCATATGAAGACAAAGTTGGTAAGATTAGCACAGCAGCCTTTAATGAAAGGCTTTCCGGCTTTGTCCTTAACGGCATGGCAGTCTTTGATAGGAAATAATTTTCATCATGTTACAATGAGTAGAAGGAAAAATTAAACATATTGGTAGCATATCTTCGAGCAGAAATATCTCTAGGGATACAATCAACCTGCAGCCCTGCTACAGGAGGAAAGGCAATGACATGTATTTCATCAAGGTGTCTTTATAAAGGTGGAAAAGTTTGGTTTCTGATCATGGAAGCCTCTCCCAAATAATCAGAATATTCCATGAGGCTGTGAGTTATCCATAGAGTTGATAATCAAACATGCATTTCATTCTCAAGTTCTAAATTGGGAATTTTAACAAGGTTCAAACACCTGAATTGTTTTTCTTAGAAGTGTTCTCTGTTTTTGGAGTGTAGGAATTATGATTGCTTACACAGTCTCTTTACAGTGATAAAATCAGCTTTGATTTGAGGCTTCCTATGGTAATAATATTAATTTATTTAATTTTATTTGTATATAAATTATTTCATAGATCAGGACATGAAAATTGTTTAAGAAAATGAATTAGAAACTTCTGTTTTTTAATGATGGACTTATGTTTCTGTCCCCTTCTGCTCTCTAAAATAACAAGAAGAACAAGAAACAGAAGTATAAACTTGCATTTCAATAAAATTGGAGGCATTGGTAACCATAACTACATTACTAACTAGAAAGACTGCCAACTGTAGTGAAGGTCAAATGGAGATGAGTGAAGATGCTGAGGAAGCACATCTGAAGTTAGAATTTCAAGCAATGGGCCAGAACACAGTTCTTCAAAGCAGGTTGCCTGCACTTAACTATGTGATCAGTGTTAATGTCAACACTAATGGGAAAAGCTGATGCCATGCATCTCCTCAGAAAGGTGCAAGATTGCATATTTCTATCCCTTGAAAAAGACAGCCTGAAATGAATCACAAGGAAACAATCAGACTATATAAATCAAGAATGTTGTGGACATTCAGCAAAAATGAAGTGGACCGCCACCCAAAATTTGGTTTGAAAGTTCAAATTGATGATGTAACACACGCATACCTAGAAGGTATAGAAAGGCATGAATATGTTTATTACTCACATAATGAGACTTTCTGGATGAAATGAAGTGGCTCCCATGAATACTCAAAAATTGCTTTAGAGAGAGAAACAAAAGATGGCTTGGGATTTTTATTGTGGTTAGGAGGTGAAGTCAGAGTGAAGGTTCCCACACAAGGGCAGGAGCTTGCATAGTTTTTTCAACTTAAATAACAAACTAGGAGTCTAAAAGAGAGGATATATATTTGAGAATGAAGCACTGCAATGGGAATATGTGTGCCATAAGTAAACTATGTGCATATTCATGGAGGTAAAGGAAGCAAATGTTTTTAAAATAACAATGAGGAGAATTAAATAACTGTTTTGAAATAATTATTTGTGGTTATAAGGATCAATAACAAGGATGATGCCAGTCTGAGGTTGGACAGGCAGCTGTTGGGCAGACATCCTTGCAGAAGTATTTTTTGTGGAAGGTTGCAATGGCCTTTGTGCAAGCTTGTGTTTTCACGGTCTTTTTAGTTATCAAAAAAATAAATGTGAGAACCCTCTCTTCATGGCCTTTCCTGGCTCTGTTCATCAGGGTTTTCTTAACATTAATGACTCCATTTTGATTCTGACAATGTTCACAGTTTGAAACTCCAACTGCACCATAAAGGAAACACTTGGGCTTTTTTGTCAGCTTGCCTAAGTGTGGGGCGGAAGAGGCAAGGTGAGTCTCGAAAGTTGTCAGCAGTCAAACATCAAAAAGTAGAGTCAGACTCTTTCTTCCAAAGGGGCATTTTACAGAAGCAATGCCTATGGCTCTTCCAAAATGTCAATATAAAGATGTAAAAGCATACAAATCTGTTCAATATTAAAGATGAAAGAGACATGAAAAATAAATTCAGTGTGTGATCTTGGATTGGAAGCTGGATCAGAAAAACACACTCTAAAATACATTATTGGGACAGTTGGTGAATTTTGAATATAAATGATCTAGTTATTATGTATCAGGGTTAAATTTCCTCAATTGAATAATTCTATTTTGGTTGTTTCAGAGAATTTTTTTCTTAAGCTATACATCAAGCATTTCTGAGTAAAGAATCATGAAATTTGCAATTGGTTCAGTAAATGATAACTTTTATATATGTACATTACAAGCGTGTATATACTTTTAATGGAGAGAAAGAAAAATTATCTCAAATAGTAAATCTAGGAAAAGAGTATACGTAAGTTTACTTTCTTGTAAATTTTCTGTACCTTCAAATTTTTTACAAAATAAAAAGACTAAATAACAGAGGTAGTGTGAATTCTCTTTACTGGAAATAAAGGAGCAGAATTCGTGGACTGACAGGTGAAGGTTTCTTGGGCCCTTTGTACCACTGAGGATACTGGAAAGGGTCTGCTAATTGAGGACACACAGAGGAGATGACATTTGCAGGGTGGAGGTTAGAGACTAGGTTCAGAGCTGCTACTTTTTATTGAATGAGGAGAAGACAAAAACAACTTATACCCTCACACACAGCCTGGGTCAGGCTAAAAATATTCACTCTATGCCAGGAAACAAATATACCAATCCAGATGACTTGCTGGCCAATCTGAACACAAACTTTGGCAGTAGCCAGTCCAGGAAAAATTTATCTCATGCAGTCAATATAAAGAAACCAACTAGAAGAAATCGATACATTCCTAGAGACATAAAACATACACAGATTGAATCTAGAAAAAATAGCCTGAACAGAACAATAACAAGTAAAGAGATTAAATCAATAATAAAAAACCTCCTAACAAAGTCTAGGGCCAGATAGCATCACAGGTGAATTCTACCAAACATTCAAAAAAGAATTGATAGCAATACTACATTCTTCCAAAAAAATAGAAGAGGGAACATCTCCAAATTTATTTTATGAGGCCAGTGTCACCCTGATACCAAAGCCAGACAAAGACATCGCACGAAATTACAGGTCAATATCTTTGAACATAGACGCAAAAATCTTCAATAAAATATCAGCAAACCTAATCCAAAAGCACATTTCGAGGATTATACACAGTGACCAAGTAGAATTTATCCCTGGGAACCAAAGAATGGTTCAACATATGCAATATGGTTTGCATCTCTGTCTCTACCCAAATCCCCTGTGGGATTGTAATCCCCATTGTTGGAGGTGAGGCCTGGTGGGAAGTGACAGGATCATGGGGGCGGGTTTCACATAAATGGTTTGGTACCATCCTCTTGGTGCTATTCTGAAGACAGTTGAGTTCTCACAAGATATGGTCTTTTAAAAGTGTGTGGCACCTGTTTCCCACCTTGCTCCTGCTTTTGCCATATGACATGCAAGCTCCAGCACTGCCCTCTGCCATGATTGTCAGCTTCCTGTGCAGCCTACAGAACAGTGAACCAATTAAATTCCTTTCCTTTATAAATTACTCAGTCTCAGGTATTTTTTATAGCAATCCAGGAACCACCTACTACAATATGCAAATCTATAGATGTGATACACTACATTAACAAAATGAAAGACAAAAACCACAATCATCTCAATTGACACAGAAAAGGCATTTGAAAAAATCTAACATCCTTTCATGATAAAAAATCTTGGCCAGGTGTGGTGGCTCACAGCTGTAATCCCACCACTTTGGGAGGTCGAGGTGGGTGGATCACCTCAGGTTGGGAGTTTGAGACCAGTCTGGCCAACATGGCAAAACCCTGTCTCTACTAAAAATACAAATATTAGCTGGGTGTGGTGGTGTGCGCCTGTAATCCCAGCTACTCTGTAAGCTGAGGCAGGAGAATCACTTGAACCCCGGAGGCGGACGCTGCAGGGAGCCGAGATTGCACCATTGCACTCCAGCCTGGGCAATATGAGTGAAACTCCAACTCAGAAAAAAAAAAAAAAAAAATAGAAGGAATGTACCTCACGTTAATGGACACACGATAAGCCCATAGCTACTGAAAGCTTTTTTTTCTCCTAAGGGGAACAATGCAAGAATGCTCACTCTTACCACTTCTATGTAACATAGTACTAGAAGTCCTAGCTAGAGAATTAGGCAAAAATTAAAAAAAAGATAAACAGCATCCCAGTAGGAAATAAAGAAGTAAAATTATCTCTGCAGATAACATAATACACGTAGAAAATCCTAAAATCTCAACAAAAACTGTTAGAACTAATACATTTAATACAATGGCAGGATATAAAATCAATATACAAAAATTGTGGCATTTTTATACACTAAGAATAAACTATCCAGAAAGCAAAAGAAAAGGCTCTCATTTACAATAGCAACAAAAATAATAAAATACTTAGGCAAAAACTTACTGAAAGGGATGAAAGTCGTGTACACTGAAAACTATAAAACATTGATTAAGGAAATTAAAGAAGACATAGATAAATGAGGATAACTCATGTTCATGGACTGGAGAATTAATATTGTTAAAATGTCCATACTACTCAAAATGTTCTACAGATTCAATGCAATACCTATCAAAATTCCAATGGCATTCTTTATGGAAATAGAAAAAAATTCCTAAAATTCATATAAACTGCAAAAGACCCCAAGTAGCCAAAGCAATCTTGAGGAAGAAGGAACAAGCTGGAGGCATCATACTTTATGATTTCAAAATATTTTACAGGGGTACAGAAATCAAAACAGTATGGTACTGGCATAAACCAAACATATAGATCAATGGAACAAAATAGAGATGCCAGAAATATATCCAAACATTTATGGTCAACTGATCTTCCACCAGGGTGCCAAGAACACACTATGGGGAAAGGACAGTCTCTTCAATAAAGGTGCTGGGAAACTGAATACCCACATGCAGAAGAATAAAATTGGATCTTCATTTCACACCATATACAAAAATCAACTCAAAATGGATTAAAGGCAAATATAAGATCTGAAACTGTGAAACTACTAACAAGGGAAAAAATATTTTTGACATTGATTTGGTAAAGATTTTTTGGCTGTGACAGCAAAAGTACAGGAAAAAAGAGAATTGATAAGTGGAATTCCAACAAACTAAAATTGATAAGTACTATTCCAATAAACTAAAAAGCTTCTGCATACCAAAAGCAACAATCAACAGAGTGAAAAGATAACCTAAGAAATGGGAAAAAATATTTGCAAATCATACATGTGGTAAGTGTTAATATTCAAAATATATAAGCAGTTCGAACAACTCAATCAAAAAAAAACTCAGTTAAAACTGGGGGAAAAACCTGAATAGATATTTATCCAAAGAAGACATACAAATGGACAATAAATAAATGAAAAAGTGCTCAAAATCACAAATCATCAGGAAAATGCAAGTCGAAATTACCATGAACTATCACCTCACATCTGTTAGAATGACCATTATCAAAATTACAAGGAATAAAAATTGTTTGCAAGGGTGTGGAGAAAAGTGAACCCTTGCACACTGTTGGTGATGCTGTAAATTGGTACAGTCAATATGGAAAACAGCATGCAGATTCCTCAAAAAATTAAAAATTGAAGTACCATATGATCCAGCAATCATCCACTTCTGGATGTAATCCAAAGGAAATGGAATTTGGATTTCAAAGAGATATCTCCCCTTCAATGTTCACTGTAGCATTATTCACAATGGCAAATATATGGAAACAACTTAAATAACCATCAACAGATGGCTGGATAAGGCAAATGTGCTATGTGTGTGTGTGTGTGTGTGTGTGTGTGTGTGTATATATATATATATATATATATACAGAGATATGTATTTATGTTTATATATATAACATTATTGAGGCTTAAAAAGAAGAAAATCCTGCCATTTTTAGCAACATGGATGAACATGGAAGACATTATGCTAAGTGAAATAAGCCAGACACAGAAAGATAAGTACTGCATGATCTCATTTACATGTGGAATCTAAACAGTCAAACTCATAGAAGAAGAAAGTAGCACGTTGGTTGCCAGGGGTTGGGGCAGGGGGAAATGGTGAGATGTTGGTCAAAGAATACAAGTTTCCAGTTATGCAAGATGAATGAGTTCTGATCTAATATACAGGAGGGTGATTATAGTTTACAGTATTATATTGTATATTTGAAATTTTCTAAGAGGGTAGATCTTAAATATTCTTACCACACCCATAGAAAAGGAAAGAAAATGGTAACTCTGTGACGTGATAGACATATGAATTAGCTTTATGGTGATGATCATTTCAGAATGTATACATATATCAAAACATTAAGTTGTACACCTTAAATATATAATTCCTACATGTCAATTAGACCTCAATACAACTGAACATTATTTTAAGAAAGAAACCAACATATTATCCATCCAAAGACCAAATAACCAGTATTTTGAGAAACTTGTACTGTACAAATCTGAATAGTTTTTATTGTTCTTGAATCAATGCCTTCAGGCATGCTATGTCAAATTCCTTTTCTTAAGGACACTGTGGGGAAATTCCATTAATTTTCAGTCACTTTTGGTAATTAACAATCCAGCCCAATGTTAATATTTCAATTGGACACTCTGTTTAAAGCTTTCCCCCAATCCACTCAACATAGACCAGACCTGAGCTGGAGAAACCTGAAAGGACAAGAGGAGGATGAAGAATACTCCTCCACTCCCCATTTTTTCCCTCTTTCTTGTAGATCCATCTACTCCAGCACTGGAAGCAGACAGAAGGAAATACAAGAAAAGATACTTATCCTTTATTTATTGTGACACTGTCATAATCCTCATTTATTTGTTGTGAGCCTTTTTTGGCTAATATGAGTGGCTATAGATTTCTTTTGTGTCTCAAGAGCCTAAATGCTAGCCTACCAATAATAAACTATACATGAGGCTCTGGGAGAGTCTACTTTGTGTTCAAGTCTGACTTTGGCTCAACCTTTACCACTGTCTCCATAGTGTATTTAATAGCATCTTGTTGCTGGGATCTCCTCAACCAAAAGAGGGCTGGCCTGGAGAGCTGATCATAGCCAAACAGCTCAAGCCTAGATACCCCCCAGAGTGCCCTGGACACACAGGATACTTCGTCTCCTTGCCACATCAAATAGAGAAAGAGTAGGGTGCTTTCCCACAAGTCCTTCCAACTCCATCATATTCTTCTGATCCTCTTATCACTGTTTAAGGAGGAGTGCACTTGTGGTGTCTAAACAAATGGCCACCTAGGAGTGTCAGATTCCTTCCTGTAAGCACTCTCTGTCATGTAATTCTCTCCTAGCATTTCCTTAAAATTTGACTTTGGGTTGGATTAGGAAATAGCTTCCTACCACCAATATAAGCTGGAGGCTGTCTATGGTGATTTTTCTTCTCCACATCCTTCTGGTTACAGAGAGAGACTGCAAATAATAAAAACTATATATCACTAAAATTAGGAAAGAGAGGAGAAAGAATGCAGAAGATAACATAAGTGTTATGTTGTCTTCATTGTGAAGAAACAGCGGACAAAAGGCAGACGTTTAAGTTGCTAATTAAAGTTAGAGATATGAGTATATATAAGTAAAAAATAAAAATACCAAGAAAATGGTAAAATATAATATAAAAATAATGTTAAATAGTGAAAAGAGGAAGGGAAGGAACAGGCAATAAAAATGTGCTTATTTCATTAATGTTCATACTGGCTGCAGAAATAGAAGTTTATGTACATAAAGTTATAGATATACAAGTAATATCTGAAGTGTAATAAAAATATCAACATTCTAAATTACAAGCCGACAGATAGCAGATAAAGAAAACCATACCATGTAATAAAAGTTGAAAAACAAAAGAAACATAAAAACAGAACATTTAACATAATATATGAAGACTGATACAAAACAACTATATCATGTCAATTAATATAAGTGGGCTAAAACTTCACTTTTTAAATGAGAAAAACAAAATCAAATACTTTCGGTTTACAGTCTATCTCCAGCCACCAAATAAAAAGATACTCAGAAAAGTTGAAAATAAAAAGATGAGCAAAAACCAAAAACAATCAAATAAAACAGGTGAATAGCACAAAAAAGCAATAATCACAATCTTATCAGAAAAGATTGACAAATAAAGTCACTTTATAATGATAAATGGTACATTTCATAATAGAAATCAAATAATTATAAAATTTTCTTCTCCAAATAACAGTAATATAAAAATAGAGTCAACCACAATGATAAAAACACAATCTAAACATATTAGTAACAGTAAAAATCTAATTTACCTCTCTCAATTCTTAAAAGTTAAAGTGAATAAATGTACATAAAGGGTGGGAGACCTAAATAAATACAAGCATATTGTGATAATTATGTATTTAACTCTGTATCCTAAAAAAAGAATATCTTCTTAAGTGCTGGTGGAATATTTATAAAAATTGACCATATATTCAGGAACAATGTAAGCATCATCAAATTCCAATACTCTGTGATCACAAAACAGAAAAAACCTCACAAAACTGAATGTGAAAATAAACAGTAAGAAAATAACAAAAATGTTCCATAACAAAAGATTTGAGATCACTCAAAATCAATGTTAAAAGAAAATTAGAAAAATCCATTGTCTTTAAAAGACACATCAATTTATCAGGTAGAATAAAAATAAATTAGTCATTGAGCTAAGTAAGTTTTAAAAAGACATAGAAAAACATTTAAAAAGAACCCAAGAAAAGTAGAAGAAAAATTAATAAAAGCAACAAGAAGAAATGTATCAATTATCAAGCAGAAAGCAGTAGGACTAGTGAATAAATTTAAAGGCATGAATATTAGAAGAAAGCACAATAAAAGAAATGTTTACCAAAAAATTCTCAAAAAAAAGGGCTAGAGAACATATATAATAAATAAGAAATAAGAATGGGGAACTAACCACCTAAAGATAGAACATTAAGATATTCCTGTGAGATGATTTTAACTGCACAAATAAGCTTGAAAATATACATGAAATAGATAATCTCCCAGGTAATTATAACTTTCTAAACTGGCCAAAGATGAAATAGAGAATCTAAAAGAACAATACCGTATGAAAATCAGAGGATTGCTAGAGTGTCCTTTTCAAAAGGATAGCCATGGAGAGTTACAAATGCTATTTAAACTGTTCTAATGCTGTTTAAACTGTTCTGGTGCATATAAAAGGAAGAAAAGTTTTCTAATTATTATTTAATAAAATGAGCATAAAAGTGATAGTATTAAAACTTGAAAAAATAGTCCTCCAAGGAAAATTATTAGACAAATCTCAAATATAAACCAACATAATTTAAGAGCAAATATTAACTAATCAAAAGATACCTATTAGTTGAAAGAGACGTACACCATGACCAGATGTGATTTGTGAAATAAATGTAACTTTGACACTGAGAAATGTGTTAATACAGTTTATCATGTTTTATAATATAAAGTTTTAAAATAACTTCCTTATATGTTGCGAAGACATTTAGAAAAATTGAACAATCTTAAAAACCAAAAACCTCATTAAAATAGGACTGTCTCTGTACATCCCAAAGAGATTGTCTCTCTCCCTCCCTCCCCTCATCTCTCTCTCTCTCTCTCTCTCTCTCTCTCTCTTTCTCTCTCTCACTTTTCTCTCTTTCCTTTCTCCATAGGGAGATACAAGAAGTCTCTACAGGGGATAAAACATGTACCCTAAGATAGAGATATAAGAGATTAATTGTGGGATATGATTTGCATACATACATAACTTCAACCCCGATAATGCAAGGTAATTAGCTCATCATATCTTATCTGTAGTTGATTCTACTACGTAAAATAAGTTAAATATATCAGTACTTTAGTGTTGAACTGGTAGGGTTTGTGTAAGGCAATTGAGCAAGATGTTTGATGGAAACACATCATTTGGAAGAAAATTATGAAACAAATACAAAAGTTTACTAATTACTGGTAGAGCTCACTCTCTTATAATCCAGACTGAGAAAAATAGTATAGCATGAAATTGCTTTACACGTCTGTCAAAAGCAAACTAAAATGATTACATTTGATTTCATGCTGTTTTAAACATAGAGATTTTTTTTCTTCTAGAATCATAATCTTATTGCTGTGACAGCATGATACCAGTTCTACTTTAATGTAATGTAAAAAATAAAGAATAAGTTAAATGTTATCAAAAACAAGAAATTTTTTCAAATAATTGAATTGGACAGGAATGAAAAGAACAAGACACTAAATAATAAAAATATTATAGATGATGTCCACATACACAAGCAGTCAGTATGTAAGAATTCTTCGCATCATATGTTGCGTAGAAAGATGTCATCTCTGAGTAGTATATAACACATTTTAACATCATAATCACAGCTTAATAGTTTAATATAACTGTACACACTTCTAGAAATATATAAAGTAGCATTTCTTCTTTAAGATTTCTGTAGCACCAACTAATCCTCTTCCAGGCAAAGCTCTGATTCTAATTTATTTTTATCTAGAATTGAGAAACATAAAGTGGTGAGAAATATACCATGAAATGGAAATAAATGTGCCGGATTGCTAGAGGTGCAGATTTGGTGCCATATAAAGTGCTGAAGTGGGAAAGGAAGCCTTCACAGAGCATATAATGATGGATCTTTATCATCAAAGGGGAGTCAGTCCTCTTTCAATAAGAGTCATCCATGCATCAGTCAGAGGGAAACAGAAAGGCATTATCGGGAAAGTGAGCAGAAGCATAGAGGTGTGAAATAGGCTGGCTTGTCACGGGCACTGCAGGTAGTTTTGTACAAAAAGAATAGAGTCTAAGAAATGATGCAGTGAAAGACAAGATGGAGGAGCAGATAAGAGTGAGAGGGTCTTTGGTGCCATACCAAGAATTATGAACTTCATTCAGAGAAAAATGTGTAATAAATGATTTTAACCTGGATGGGATGTAATATTAGGATTTAGAAGGTCGATTTGATGATAGAATAGAGGATGGATAGCAGAAGTGTGAGATTAGAGGAAAAATGGCCTGTCAGGAAATCACTCCAAGAAATGATGAATACTTGAACTAAGGCAATAGAAATTAAGGTGCAGAGAAAAACTCACGTATAGGTTATGCTGTGGATATGCAATCTACAGAACTTGGCAGCTGATGGAATACTAGGAGAATATTCTAAAGTGTAATCCAGATTTCTGTCTTGGGTGATCGGACGGATGAGGGTCTTCATTAATATCAGGAATAAGTTGGTTCTGGAGAAAACAGGTGAGCTTTTTCAGTCAAGTAATAAGAAGGGTGTGAGGCACCAGTGAGGAAGTTGGAGCTCAGTAGGGAGATGAGACTGTGAGAGAGATGTGTTTATTTGAAGACACAGATGGGAATCACAGAATTTATCAATAAGTACTTTATAAATGACAAAAGCTGGAAAACAGCATTATTGCTCTGAATGTTCAGAGTGCCATGATTGTCCTTATCTAAATGTGTGTTCTTGGAGGTCTTCGTTGTAGGACTCATTTACCCGCTGTCTATGTCTCCACCTTTTATTTCTCCCAACTTCCCTTTTTGCATTCTGCTCCAGCCACACTGGCATATTTTTTTACAGCTTTTCAAGCAATGTTTTGTTGGTTACAAAAATCTTCCCATTCCATTTGCCTGGAATTCCCCATGTTTTCCACCCCCATCCACCAAACCAAACCTTTCACATCCCAACCCTTTCTCATGCCCTCAGTGAAAGTCACCTTACTTGATATTACAGTTCAGTGTAGGTTCTTCCACCCTGTTATTTCAAGTCCTTGATTATTTCATTCACCACCTACATTTATAAGAATTTACTTTTACAAATATCCTTCCCCTTATTAGACCAGATAATATACTGCATTAGGCAGGAGCCTGCTCTCCTTTATACCATTTTATCTTGAAGCCTTAGAGCAGTGCTGGGCACATGAAAGCAATTCAAGAAATACTGTTGCATGAAGGAATAAAGGAATGAGGAAATAATCATGAATCTAATCATTATAGAGGACAAAAAGGTGCAGATCATGAAATTTTCTTGGCTTAATTCAGGTGTCCCTCTACCAAATAGCTAAATGCCTGATTGATAGATCTCCATTTTTCTCTGTGCAATAAATAGCTCAACATGTAGCCCTGCGTGAGACTGGGAAAGACCCACAGGCTCTCCTAGGTTCAAATGCCAGATCTGAGATTTGGGTTGTGTGACCTTGAACTAATCACTCATTTATCCAAGTTTCAACTTTCTTATCCTCAAATAGTATAAATAATACCTATCTCATGGGTTCAAGGTATACAGTAAATGATAAAATGATATAATTCCTATCCAGATCCTGACTCTCAGGTACTAGGGGTGACTAGCATTCTGTGCACACACCTGACGCAAATAAACTGCAACTTTCTATAACAGGTGACAGTGATTTTTTTCTAATTTTAAATATTAAAAACTACCAATATAGGCAAAATTAGAGAAAATATGTGATGAATCACCATGCACCTACCAACCAACTTCAACACATATCAGATCACAGTAAAGGTTATTTCATCTATAACCCACCTACTTCACCTCTTTTAGATTATTTAAAGCAAATTTCAGATATGAGATCATTTTATACAAGTTTTTAGATATATGTATACAACATGTTATAGTTTTAACATATCCACAATATCACTTCATATTTTAAAATAACAATAATTTCTTAATATAATCAAATATTCAGTCAGGATGGTCAGTATTTAAATGTTCTCAGTTGTAATCACACCCACATATACATAGCTGTTGCTACTGGGTGTAGAATAGGGTTTCTTTATTCTTTTTTTCTCTGCTTTATTGAGGTATAATTGACAAATTAAAATTGTATATATTCAAGGTGTACAACATACCATTGTGTAACGATTATCATAATTGAATTAATGTATCCATCAACACACATAGTTATCATTTGTGTGTGTAGGGGAGTGAGACACAAAATATGCTCTCATCAATTTTAAATACACAATACAGTATTATTAACTATAATCACCATGCTACACTATAGATCCCCAAAACCTATTCATGTAACTAAAGGATTATACCCTTTGATCAACATCTCCCCATTTCACTCTCCTCTTGGCCTCTGGAAACCACCATTCTACTATCTTCTTCCTTGAGTTTGATTTTTATATTTTGATTTATATGTTTAATGATATGGATACATACTAGTTATACATATTTATGAGGTACATGTGATATTGTGATACAAGCATACAATGTGTGATGGTAATGATCACATTAGGATAATTGCATTAATCACTTCTTTGTGTTAGGAACATTCCAATCTACTCTTTTAGTTATTTTGAAATATACAATCAGTTGTTGTTAATTATAGCCACCCTATTGTGCTACCAAACACAATCTTATTCCTTCTCTCTAACTGTATTTTTGTACCTGTTAACCCTCTCGACTATCCTTCCCACCCTCAGGTAACCATCAGTCCATCCAACATCTCCACGAGTCCAGTGTTTTTTTTAGCTCCCACATGTTAGTGATAACATGCAATATTTGTCTTTCTGTGCCTGGCTTATTTTACTTAGCAATGTATTCTTCAAGTTCATCCATATTATCACTAATGACGGTATTTCCTTCTTTTTATGGCAGAATAATATTCCATTGTGTATACGTACACCAAAATACCTGTATCCACTCATTTGTTGACAGACACTTAGGTTGTTTCTATAATCTTGGCTATTATGCAATGAACCTTGGAGTGCAGATGTCTCTTTGAGATACTGATTTCATTTCCTTTAGACACATACCCAGAAATGGGGTTGCTGGATCATATGGTAGTTCTATTTTTAATTTTCAGAAGAACCTCTATACTGTTTTTCATAACAGCTATACTAATTTATAATCCCATCAACAGTGAACAAGGGTACTCTTTCCTCCATGCCCTGACCAACACTTATCTTTTTTCTTTTTATAATAATCATTCTAACAGCTGTGATGTGAGATCTCATTGTGGTTTTGATTTGCATTTCCCTGATGATTAGTGATGCTGAGCATTTTTAATATACTTGTTGGCCATCTATATATCTTCTTTGGAAAAAATATCTATTAAGGTCCTTTGCCTATTTTTAAATCAGATTATTTATTGTAGGGTTTTGTTTGCTGTTTTTCACTTTCTTTGCTATTGAGTTGAATGAATTCCTTATACATTTTGGATTTTAACACTTTCCTGGATACACGGTTTGCAGATATTTTCTTCCATCCCTTAGGTTGCCTTTTCACTCTGTTGATCATTTCCTTTGCTGTGTAGAAGCTTTGTATCTTGATTAAATCCTATTTGTCTATTTTTGCTTTTGTTTCCTGTGTTTTTGGTGTCATAGCCAAAATAACATGGAAATTTTTTAAAGGAGATTTTTCCCTGTGTATCTTCTAGGAGTTTTATGGTTAAAGGTCTTACATTCAAGTTTTCAGTCCACTACAAAGTAATTTTTTGTATATGGTGTAAGGGTCCAATTGCATTCTTTTGCATGTGGTCATCCAATTTTCCCATCACCATTTATTGAAGAGACTATTCTTTTCCCGCTGTATGTTCTTGGCAGTCTTTTCAAAGATTAGTTGACTATATATGCTTATGTTTATTTCTGGGCTCTCTCTTCAGTTCCATTGTTCTGTTTGTCTCTTTTTATGCAAAACCACACTGTTGTGATTACTATCAAGCAGTGTTTTTCCATTTATATCTTTTCAAGTTAAAGGAACAATGGCCTTCAGTTGAGGCACAAATCATCTTGATACATCTTCACAGGGAAGAAACTGTAGTTTGAGTAAATAGCAGCCTCACCACACAGCTATACTCTGATCTCCTGTTTAGGCTCCTGACTGGCTGAAGCTAATTGGAAGCCCCAGAACATGAAAATCCTGTTGATATATTTCATACAGGTCAATTACACTGAGTAAAGAGCAGGGTTGAAAGTGGGGAAAAATAGATCTATAGGCACAAACAAATATATTAGCATACCAGCAACCTATGCAACCATTCCAGAATTTGCACAAACATGCAAATACATACACACATTTTCTTCTTCACTAAACTATTACTCATACATCGCAAACACTGTTATGAACCTGTACATTGACACAATGAAGTACTCAAGAACACATAGATTAAAGTAAGTGGGTAGTGGGAACAATTAAGAAGAAAGATTATGAAGTAGAATTTTTAAGAAATGGAAAATAATGTGAAATTTCAGCTTCATCACCTCAATGAAACATGATTACTTTCTGCAAAAGACTATGTGAATTGATTTTCTCTAAAACATTCTTGATTTCATTCTCTTTTTTCCTTTCTCTACTAGAAAGCCTGGAAAGCCCAAAATACTCACTTATCCAGACTCTGTTGCAGCTAGGTATGGTCATGTGACATGAGTTTGGTCAGTGAGAAATAAGTAGCAGAAATTAGGTAAGAATTTTGATAAATTTTTAAATAGAAGAGGCAACTCTCACATCTATTCTTTAACATTTTTTTCTTTTCTCCTCTTCTTGCCTGGCCAGCCGATGCAATGCTTAGAGACACAGCAAACATATTGCATGCATTAGGATGAAAGCCTCCCACTGAGGGTAGTGGAGCCAAAAGAATGGAGGAGCCTGGGTTCTGACTGACATCCTTGAGCAATTTCACCACACCTAAGCTGCCACCTCTTATTTTGAGGAAATAAAAGCCCTTATCTATTTAAGCTGGTGGTAGATCTACATTGTGTCACTTGAAGTGAAAAACGTAAAAACCTTTCTGGTTGATATGTTTGCTCTTTGTCTTACTTTTAACAAGAACTGTCCATCAAAAAGATAGGCTCTTGGCAGGTAGCCAGGGGACACTGGGATGCCTCCTAGGTTTTTTATTGTTTTGGGAGTCTGTTGGCATTCATTCTAGCTATCTGTATTTTAATACTATAGGAAGTGTGACAGAAGATGATTTATTTACTCTGGATTCATTCACTGAAATAAAGTTTGGTCTAGGACCCAGATGTCTCTCTTCTTATAGCAACTTTAACTACAGTAGTGATGACTAAAATAGGTACTTGAGTTATCTCCCAAAGGCTAAAGAGCTAGTTCTGCAAAGAGAAGGCATCAGTATGATTCTCTATCATTTAAGGAAGTAGGGTTTCATATATGAAATTTTTATAAATCTTCCTTTTAAGATGAGTTGTCACGTGTCTTTTTGCCATCTTCTTTATGTCCTCAGGATTTCTCTCAGTAAAATTAAAGGTGCAGTTCAGTAATATAAGAAAGCCCATAGACTCAGTGGATAGCAATTCTAGATCTTTCTAATTCAGTTCCTCTTGTCCAGAGTCATCTGACATCTGGTTAAAGACGGTTCCTGAAATAAGTGGAATGCATTTTATATTTATTTTTAAAAATATTATTTTAAAATAATTTTAAAATGTGCTTTAGAGTTGCTCAGTTCTCAAAGCTAGAAATTTTATTCTCTCACTTTTGCTTACATTATTGTTTCCATCAGTTTTCATATCTATAACATTTTTTATCTATCCTTTTTCTTTAAAATAAAGTGGCATAGAATAAAAACAGTACATACAGAGGCAAAGCACTCAGTTTCTACCTTGGCCACAGCATGTCTGATCTTGACAGGGGATCTCAGGAATCCTACTTAGGTGAGGCATAGTACCAGCAGTCTGGTTGGCGAGGGAGGATGGAAGATTTATTGGCACAATACTTTATATTTATGTTGAAGATTTAGGGAAGAGCTAAGCCCTCCCTATTTCTACTTTGCCCACCATGGATCCTCCACATCTCCATTTCCTCATCTGTAAAATACAGAGGCTGACTTAAGTATAAGCATTTTAAAATTTGAATTCTTGACTATTTATCATTTTATTCCCTAACTTCCATACAGTTTCACCACTTGCATGCTTTTGATTGCAACACTTATTTTCCTGTTGTTGAGCCACTACCCAACGTTCTCTTCCATATATAGTTTCTACTATAGCATTGCTATGCTAAAGCCATGCATTCCAGAAAGCTCATTTTATCTCATGTGTTAGTCTGTCTAGAGTATGTATATACTTTTAAATTGTTTTATAACGTTGATGAATTCCAGAGAAATTTGTCATATTAATACATTGCACAATGGCTGTAAGGTATGGTTACCCGATTTTCAAGACTAAGAAGTACTTTTAAAGTTATACATTATTAATCTAATAAAACAACCATTTCTTTAGCTTTTGTATGTACCAAAGACTATTTCCTGGTGGTTTGCACATATTATATTACTTAATGTTTCCATTACGAATATCCCTAGTCAGTAGATCTTATTCCTTTTGTATGGGTGAAAAATCTGAGGTTTAGATGGGTTGACTACCTTATTCAAGGTCACATGGGTAGTCACTGGAATAATTCTGATTAAAGTCTGAATCTCCTTGGCTCCAAGTCTATGTTTTCAAACTCAGGGTTCTGCTGCCCACTAGACTACACCACTTTTTAATGCATACATCAGCTGGTATCCTTATAAATAAAGGGGAAATTTGGAAACAGATATTCACACAGGGAGAATGCCAGGTGAAGATAAAAGTGTGTGTGAATAAGGGTAATGCTTCTACAAGCCAAGGAATGCCAAACATTGCCAGCAACCCACCATAAATGAGAGAGCATGAAGCAGATTATCTCTCACAACCCTCAGAAAGAACCACCCCTGCCAACACCTCGATCTTGGATTTCAGCCTGCAGAACTGTGAGACAATAGACTTCTGTTGTTTAAGGCACCCAGTTTGTGGTATTTTTCACAGCTGCCCTAACAAACTAAAATAGAAAGAATGTGTGTTTCTATAGATGGAATACAGTACCACATGTCCTTTACTGTGGTTTAATGAAAAATTCCTAAAATATCCCTTAGCTCTGAAAGTTTATCCTGTCTTCCATAGACAAAGCCTTTTTTTTTTTCTATCATTATCATACTTTTGCATTTTAAAGCTGGTGTTTGGGTTATTTAGCCATCTGGGCACCACAAAGATCAACTTCTTTCCAACTTGAATAGACACTACTGTTATGGCTTTCTAAGTCTCAAGAGGAAAAAGGCTAGAAAAAAACAAAACAAAAAAACCTTGTGTTCCCACAGTGACTTTTCCAAAGAACTTCACACTGATAAAGCATTCTTCATTTTTTAAGATCTCTAGATATGTGTATATATATCTATTTCATAAAGTCTAAGGGTAACTCCTCCTCTGGACAGACTGGGGAACTTAGACTTTTGTGGCCATCACTGCCATTAATATCCTTTTTGTTTCCTTGCTACTTTTAATCTAGTTACTTGGTATGATGTCTGGCTACGACTATGGAGCTGAAGCCCCATCAGCAGGCCTTCTGTAATGTATAATTAGGACACTCATTTCCCTTTTAGATAGATGACACATATTATGATTTACTGCGCTTTCAGAAAGAGACAATAAGACTAACAAAATATCAACTCTTTTTTTTTTTTTTTTTTTTTTTTTTGATGAGTCTCACTCTGTTGCTCAGGCTGGAGTACAGTGGCGTGATCTTGGCTCACTGCAATCTCCGCCTTCCCCGTTCAAGCGATTCTCCTGCCTCAGCCTCCTGAGTAGCTGGGATTACAAGCACCTGCTGCCACACCCGGCTAATTTTTATATTTTTAGTAGAGACGGTGTTTCGCCATGTTGGCCAGGCTGGTCTCGAACTCCTGACCTTAGGTGATCCACCCACCTCAGCCTCCCAAAGTGCTGAGATTAAGATTACAGGTGAGAGCCACTGCACACAGCCAACCCTTATTTTGATTAGAAAACCGATGAAAGTATAATAGAGGTATTACCAACTTACTGTAAAAGGCACAGTATGTCATATAAAAACAAAAATTCAACTGGACAAAGTTAAACAGTCAAGGAAGATTAAATGCAAGGCTGGTGCAATAGGAGAGAGAGACAAGAACTTAGTCTGAGCTCAACTCTGCTGAAAGGAAGGGCTGGAGAGTTTTTAAGAGCTGGGATAGAGAGCATTACAGGCCACCAGTTCTTGGTAATTGGCCTTACCCAAAGGAAAAGTACACCTTCTTGTATCTTCATGACAGGAGGTAGTTTAATAACTTGGAATGAGATGCCCTCTGAAGTTAGATTCCTACTGTCCCAGAGAAACTGAAACATAGGGCCACTACATTTCAAAGAGATGGCTTCCAAGTTCTTAAGAAAGATCACATGTTCTCACTCATAGGTGGAAATTGAACAATGAGAACACTTGGACACAGGAAGGGGAACATCACACACCAGGGCCTGTTGTGGGGTGGGGGAAGGCGGGGAGGGAAAGCATTAGGAGATATACCTAATGTAAATGACGAGTTAATGGGTGCAGCACACCAACATGGCACATGTATACATATGTAACAAACCTGCACGTTGTGCACACGTACCCTAGAACTTAAAGTATAATTTAAAAAAATAAATAAATAAAAAAGAAAGATCGTCCAGCGACGGTTCAGTGTTGTAACACCGACAAGAAGTTTTTAGAAAGATTTACATCTTAAAGGAACAGAGAAAGATTTTATGATTACAAGTTTCTAATGTAAATGAACTAAGGAAAAGGAAGTCAGGGGCCTAAAGGCCAGAAGTATGTCTAAAGTTTAGTCAAGCTAAATATCAAGGCCCTCTTGGTCACCTGATACGCATGTGGGTACAAAGTTCACAGCACAGGTTTAAAATTATGAAGTGGGCAACAGGGCGCGGTGGCTCACGCCTGTAATCCCAGCACTTTGGGAGGCCGAGGCGGGCGGATCACGAGGTCAGGAGATCGAGACCATCCTGGCTAACACAGTGAAACCCCGTCTCTACTAAAAAATACAAAAAATTAGCCGGGCTCGGTGGCGGGTGCCTGTAGTCCCAGCTACTTGGGAGGCTGAGGCAGGAGAATGGCGTGAACCCGGGAGGCGGAGCTTGCAGTGAGCCGAGATCGCGCCACTGCACTCCAGCCTGGGTGACAGAACAAGACTCTGTCTCACAAAAAAAAAAAGGAAAAAAAATTATAAATTTGGCAATGCTAGGAGGCATTGAAGAAGATCACAAATGGAGCCCATATTGTGTACTTGAAATCAAGTCCAGATGTACTTATTTCAAATGTTCCATCATCTCTTTGGGCCTCAGAATCCTAATGTAGAAAATAAATACTTGAGGTAATTTTCTGAACCTCTTAGAGTTATAACCCTTCCTCTTTGCAGTGTAGTCAATTCTTTAGATCTAAATTTGAATGCGAGTTCACAGGGCAAAATTCTAGGCACCTTAGCATCAAGTGTTGGCTTTTTGCTATGAAACATCCAGTAGCAATTTGCCTTGATGTAACTAACCAGGCAATTGACAAATCTCTTGGGTGGATGAGTGTTTCCGAAATTAAGTTAGTGACCAAAATCAGTTGAGGATTTTGAAAAATACAAATTTTCAGACTCTGCCCCTGGCTACTTTGATTTTATAAATTTGACGTTGCTTTAGAGAATTGAAGTTTTTGTAAAACATCCCAAATTACAAATAATCAGACATGTTTGGGAACTAGTGGATGAAGTTAACATTGCAGTGACAACATGTCACATGAGATAATTATGAGATCTGATGTAGAAATTGTTCCCCTCTGTTCTAGTTTCTATAGTGATTTTTTTACATTTTAGTGTTTATAGAATAAATTGCTTCACTAGTCAGTACACTGGAGAAAAGCAAAGACACTTTATAAAAATGTTCACTATTCATAATTATTCCTACAGGCTTTCAGTTTCACAGTCTAATATTGCCAAAATAGAATGTATCAAATAAACAAGAAAACTGGCCTATTACATTTGTTATAAATTCACTAATATCTTTTAAAGTGGGAGGAATGAGAGAATGACTTTAACCCATCTCTCCAAGCCACCCAGCCTGAGGCCTTTGGTTTGTTGAATAAACGAAAACGTGGCCACTTCAGAGAAGAGCAAGGCTTCCAGCACCTTCCCACAGCCTGAATTCCATTAGCATGAGACTTTGAAACCACATCTGTTTTTCCTTATGAAATTCAAACAATTGTCTAACCTCTTGGCTCTTAAGTCAAATGTTCAAGGGCTCATATGACAACACTTTGTTGTATATAAAAATTTGTTAAATTTAAATTGCTTTTGCAAAAAAGAGGAAAAGGGGGAATAAATAAATAGCTTTAAGGCATCTGGTTAGGATCTGCACAAGGTTGCATTCTTTCCATGTCTCCAAAAGGTTTGTTCTATCTGTCACCCATCACTTCACTGGAGTTCCTGCAGGCAGCAAAATCATGCAGAAGTTCTTTGTATAGAAATACAGTGTCTGGAGCCTAGTCTGACTTCCTGTTTGGCTGGAGCTGAGCTAGTCCATGGATAGGCAGAAAGCAGCTGTAGGAATCTGTGTTTAGAGTAGGGCTGTTTAGTAGACACAAGGGCAACCCACAGGGACCTGTGACACATCTCTATTGAAATATGGCATGATGTGCTGATTTGTTTGTCCAAGATTTAATTATAGATGTTTAGCAGGGTTGCATAAACAACAGAGGGATAGGAGAGATAAGGAGGGAAGATTCAGGGAAAAAAATCAGTGGCTTATATTTTTGATCAGATATATTATGTGCCAGAATGAATCTCTATCATGCTTTGAGATTTGCATGTGTGTGTGTGTGTGTGTGTAGACACATCAAAGGTCTATACAATCTTTAAGGTTTTAAATTCCTTCAAGGAATTTTAAGGTCTTAAACTTTGAAGTCGTATAGACCTTTAACCTCTATAAGGTAAAGGGGGGAATTTAAAAGAATTTAAAGGATGGAAAACTTCAACTGCTTAAAACCGAGAAATCCAGGTATTTGAAGCATTATGATTTTTGAATTAAGAAAATAAATATTAGTTTCATGTTATAGATACTTCCTTTATATTTGCTACTATATAAAATTGAATGCTAATAGACAAAGAAAAATGTATAGTTAAGATAGTTTAAAATGATCAATATTCAGCAAAACCTCAGACAATCATAGCAATGACTTCAAGCTCATAAAACTTAGAAATTTAAGTTTTATAAG
This sequence comes from Homo sapiens, assembly GCF_000001405.40. Taxonomy (NCBI): domain Eukaryota; kingdom Metazoa; phylum Chordata; class Mammalia; order Primates; family Hominidae; genus Homo; species Homo sapiens. The sequence continues at coordinate 76,384,955 of NC_000013.11, forward strand.
CCTATCTGATCTTAGCTAATACTTATTGAACATTTGGTATATGTCAGGTGATGCTCTAGATGCTTTATGTGGATTAATTCAACTCCCCTTGGCTAGGCACAGTGGCTCAGGCCTATGATCCCAGCATTTTGGGAGGCCAAGACAGGTAGATCACTTGAGGACAGGAGTTTGAGACCAGCCTGGCCAACATGGTAAAACCAGACTCTACTAAAAATACAAAAATTAGCCGGGCGTGGTGGTGGGCACCTGTAATCCCAGCTACTCTGGAGGCTGAGGCAGAAGAATTGCTTGAACCCAGGAGGCAGAGGTTGCAGTGAGCCAAGATTGCACCATTGCACTCCAGCCTGGGTGACAGAGCAAGATTCTGTCTCAAAATCAGTCAATCGATCAATCAATTTCCCCTTGCATTGCATGACTATAGGATTATAACAGCCATTTTACCGGTGAGGAAATCAAAGTTCAGAGTGGTCAATACCTTGAACAAGTTAAAAGCTCGCAAGTGACAAAGCTGGAATTCTCTATCTAAGCTTTTAAATGCTCTCTGTCCCTATCCTGAATCTAGAGTCTGAGGTATGTATGTATGCATTATGTAAATTAAAAGCTTTTTAAGTATTTAAACTCAACCAGGCCACCCAGAGGCAAAAAAAAAAAAAAAAAGTACTGTTTTTACTTCATGCTCATAGCAAACCAATACCTCTTTGACCTATATTCTGTCTACCCTGTTTCTATTTATATCTATTGGAAGTGGTTGGTGATTTAAAAAACATATTTTTGTACAACAAAAGTTTTCTATGAAAAATTGCCGGGCAATGAATGTGATTACTTGGCAAGTGAATGAGTCAGATGGGGATGATCTAAATCATTGCATCCTAGATTAAAGTGCAAACTGGCATTAATGCCTAGCGTGCCTCAAGTAAAAAAAAAAAGGAAGGGAAAAATTTTTATTAGGTAGACATTTCAGCCAGTTAATTGAGTTGGCTGCCTTTTTTTTAATCCATGGAGTTGCCTTGTTGATTTACTATTTGTGCTGGTGTGATATAAACACAGGCTGAATATTAGTATATAATAATAGCAAAAATTCTATGTAGCTCTAAACGTGTTAAACCACAACCATATAAAGATAAAAGGCCCTTATGAGTCACTGAGCCCCACTTAATATAGGTACCCCCATCCCTGTAATGATGTATAGTCTAATTTTCTCTCTAAACATGCAAGGAAACTGAAGCTGAGTTTAAGTGCTTTAAGGTTAGAAAGATGTTAGGCCTCAGACTTCCCAATCTTAAACCCACTCTTTTTATTTCAATCATGTTCCCTCACAGTGGCCTCTGCTTTACTCTATTATAAAGTGGTTTATACCGTCAACTACCAAATGGCAACAAAATGTGAAAGGGGAAATTATCTATGTATCAAGAGAAACAGCAAGGTACAATCAAAAGGAAAACTTAAGTGGTGTTAAAGAGTACTTAGATTGAATCCTGGATTCTTCATGATTTTACAACCATCCTCTCCTCCTGCCAAGCAGCGTGCATACCTCTGCGTGCATATAAACTCATGACTGACACAACTAAGCTCCTGCCTTGCATCCAACCTGATTGTACACTCCCCATCCCCTTATGCAATCTCATTGCCTCTTTCATAGTCACAGTGGAGATATTTCCAAGATGCTTTGAATCTATATTTTATTCTCAGGGGAAGAAAGGAACCCTGGTCATAAGGATTCCCTGCTAGCGGGGCAAAGACAACAAGCAGATCCATGACAGGAAATACTAGGGTTGACCAGGTACACAGTCTGCATGGGTTTAAACTGTGCAAATAGTGACGACAGGCTCCAGTACACAACAGCTCAGAATCTCTCAAAAGTTTGGAATCCCTCATTCCTGCCCTACAAATTCCAGCTGCTGAAGCTGTTAGCAATTTGCTAAAACTATATTTTATTAAAGATAGTAATAAAAAGTGATGTAGTGAAGAAATGTAATCCCTCATACCCAACTCCCTATCGTTATTAGAGTCTCCTTCAAGTTGATGGCTTTGATCATTGGTGATGCAGAACTACTGATGTGGGCGTGAAGGCTTAAATTGAGCTTGGTGTCATGTAGTTATTCTTTGTAGTCAAAGATGCTGCTGATGCTGGCATTGTTTCCTGCACTTTGCTTCTTAGCATTAGCTGTATTTACACACGACCTGATTTTTAGCAGAACTTGGATGCAATTTGCAGCATTGTTTGCATTAGCTTTTTACACTGGGAATTAATGACAACTTGAGTAATTGTCAGTTCCTAGAGAAAGGCATTTTGTGGCAATCATAGTTTCAAAAGCTACATTTTCCCTAGGGTCTATGTTACAGTTTAGGTGTCATTAAGGGCATCATTTATATGCACAGGGAAGCTCATTAGCAGTACTGGGGCTTTGTGATATTATTGGGTGCCTTCCTGTTTCCTGAGTACTCAGCCTCTTTGGGAACAAAATCTACCACAAAGCTGGTGAGGCTATTCATTTCACTGTCCCCAGCTATTTTGGAAGCAAAGTGTTGTCTGTATCAATATGTAACTTTTATCCAGCTTATATTCATTTTCTCTCCAATTGTCCTTTGGATATAGTTTTAGGAGGTTTTGTTTTGTTTTGTTTTGCACAGAATACTATAGACAATTTAGTGGTTTTCCTTGTTCTGGCAATTAAAGTTCATGGTTATAAATTCCTCACCAAGGGGCTCCTTTAGAATACCTGAAATGGGTTTCCCACACTTCCCCACTCATTCTAAAACTGACATAACTGGGTACATACCAGAGTGGATAGAGGAAGTCTGGGACTAGAAACCAGCCAGAATTGCCCAATGTCTGCACTGCTGCACTGTGGCCCTGCAGACCTGTTTTTATCCGTCTAAGCTTTAGTTTCTCTGCCTATTAAACCTATGTATCCAACACCAACTTCATAGGATAATTGTGAGGATACAATTGAAAGACATCTATGAAAGTGCTTAGTGCAGAGAACATTTGAGAATTGATGCTAAATAAATAATGATAATATTTAGTAATGCTTTCAAAAGTTACAATCTACATTTACATACATTGTATTGATCCTCTACACTCTTTTAGTTGGGTAGATATTATTATGATTTCAACATTAGAGTGGGAAAATCAAATTTAAAATGGGTAAAAAGGTTTTGTGTATGTTCATAAGCACTCAAAACCAAGTCTTCTGACTGGGTCACCAGTCTCCACTGTAGTTTTAACTTTCCCTTGCTCATTGGCTTGTAGTATATGTCACAACCTTTGCTCCTCCAGGCATATTGTTGTGCCTTTCTGAGGTTTTCATTTAGGACCTTAACTGTACTGAAACACACACAGCTGCCAAATGCTCAGGCTGTATATTTAGAATATTTTGCTCAGGGAGACATATGGATTTCACTAGAAGTCACCTTTTACTTCATTCTGGAAGACTTCACAAATCCAGAGAAAATTCCAGAACAACCCACAAAAGAAGATCCAAATCTAGTAAATCACAATTCCCAGAGCTGGGATAGCCATCTTTATGTTAAAAACATTTGTAGTGTACTCTGAGATGGTCAAAATTCAAAAATCACCAGAGTAAACTGTCTCCTATGAATGGCATGTTTTAAAAATCCTATTTCTTGCTAACTTTTTAGATTAAGAATGAGTAATGAGCAAATCTGAATGAGAATGCAGTAATTCATCCCAAATTCTTTTGAACTTCTACTACAGTTTATAGGATTATGAGCTTTTGTACATTATACTCAAAATAAAAATTGCCAGCTTATTTTTATATCTTTGGAAGTAGATAAATATAATATCACAATGTGTCCCAGTTAAAGACCAAGAGACATTTAGACTTGTAAGACTAACTCACTCATAGCTGGATTCATTCGATCTGTTTTTAATTTTTTTCAGTTTCTTAAACAGCATTAAGATATAATTGACTTGAAATAAACTGACATTTAAAGTACACAATTTGATGAGTTTTCACATATATACACACCTGTGAAACCTTAATCATGATCAAAATAATAAACATGTTCATTATTTCTAAGCAAGATAATAAACATACACATCACTCCCCAAATTGCTCCTGTGAACTATTGTAATCTCTTTACCCAAGGATTCTCCAAGGAGGATCTTCAGCCTCTCCTTCTCACTCACTCACAGATTTCCTCTTTGCCTTCTATAATTATAGATGAGTTCTGCTATTGTTAATACAAAACTTCATATAAACGGAAGCATACGGCATGTACTCATTTTTTGTCTGACTTCATTTACTCAGCATAATTTGCTACAGTGTATATCAATAGTTCACTTATTATATTGCTTACTAATGTTCCACTATAAAGCTATACCACAATTTTGATTATCTATTTATCTTCTGATGGATGTTTAGGTTGTTTTCAGGTTGGAACTATTACAGAGAAGGTTGCTATGAATATTTATATGCAAGTCTTTTACAGAACTTATGCTTTTGTTATTCTGGGTAAACAGCACGGCAAGCTTGTCTGTGTACTCTACTCAATACTCTGTGAATCATGAAGTTTTCCAGCCTGGCTTGTGAGAACAAGCACTGTTCCTGTAAGTTATGAGCACTGTTGTCTCTAATTCTTCTGAGTAGTTCTTTCTCTACCTCAAGTTTTTTTCTTACATGCTTGCACTGATTAGTATGGCACTGAAGAATCATGAGGGTCCTCTGAAGACCTCCAGAAATTTATCTCATTTCTGCAGCCCCCTCATTGTAGAGTACCACCCCACAAACTCTATCTGCCTTGTCTCCTTAGACACCCAGTTCTATCTCTTCAATTCAGGTTGTCCACCAGGCTCTGTATGGACTTTCCTTCTCGGCTCGTGGCCTGGGGCTCTCTTCAGGCAGTGAGCTAGTGCAACTGCAAGGCTTACCTTACTCATTTTCCATCTCTAAGGGATTCTTATCCTTCCTTGCCAGTGATGTTCAGTGTCTTGAAAAATACTGTTTCATTCTTTTTGTCTGTATCTTGGTTATTTCAGGTGGATGGTAAATCTGGTCCCTGTTACTCCAGATTGAAAGCAGACATCTCTAATCTATTATTAGATTTTTGAATCAAGCTTTGGGATATACAGGAATATTTTGCAGGTAACTTTTGTTTTCTTTTACACCGTGGGAACAGGAAGAGAAATGGCAGGGATAAGATTATAAATCTGAGTAGGGAGCCCTGGGATTTCCCTTTCCAGTATTATAAGGCTGTTGTTATTTTCCTTTATGTTGTATGTTTCAGATGGAGAGTGGAATTTAAGTTGTGGAAGACTTGGCATGTGATAAAACTGAATGCAGCTACAGACTGTTTGGAAACAGATAACACTAATGAGGACCTGGGAGAGACTGAAGACTTAGAAAGGTAGCTAACTTCTACTATCACACCACAGTGGCTCTGGGGTTCTAACAGGGGTTCTCCCTGACTCATCGCCAAACAAATGAAGAAATGCCATTCAAAAATCATAACTATGTTATTCTCTGCAGCCACAACACTTGCTGCTATTACTCTCCACAGTGCAAAAAATATATATATAAAAATTTACAAATCAATAATTACACAAACTGTGAAATATAGCAGTGATTTTGTTTGTTCTGTGAGTGTAAAAAAGACTTTTTATTAAGATATAAATCAAATTATAAAAAAGAAAACACAAACAAATGAAAAATAGTTGACATTTTAATTGCATAACCTCTCCACATAAACCTGTTTATTCATGTCAACACTGTACAGCTTAAAAACACTTTGTGCTTGCTTTGCTCTTTTAATATTTGAATTTTTGTCTAGTTGGTTTGTAGTTATGATGTATTTTTCTAAGCATCTATAATTATTTGGAAACAAAACCAGAAATTTCCAATGGAAAAAATAATACCAGAAAATTAGAACCCATGAAAAAGTAGTATGCATTTGAAACCATGGCTTTTGGAATGAGAGTAGATTTTGTGATGGAACTCTTGCAGATAAATGATCTTTTCACACAAAACACATTGAAGCAAATGGAAAAAACCTGACATTCAATGTTGACAATATTTGTTTGCTAGGAAATAGTGCTCACTGTTAAAGGAATACGATGAATCTATTCCATTTGTAAAGAAAACTTTTTTTTAGTTGTTCGGAACCAGAAATATAAAAAGAAATGTTTGCATTTATGAGCTTACAGAATGATCTGAACAATTCTGCAAGCAGAAAAATAAATCCATGTAGATAATAACATCCAGAATGATGCAGAAAGTATGAATGTATTGTTTCCATTAACTCAACTGAATGTGATACAATAACCACTGGAATAATAGTGGTCTGGCTGTCACTTTGGGTAAAATGCCTTCATAAAGCACCAAAGACTGTCTTAATTAAAGACAGTCTCTTCATTTCCATTTTATCAGAGAGATGACTGACACTAACCTAAACAGAGTTATAAAAATGCATCTGCAGCAAATCAGGGTTAATTTTCACATAATTGAGTGGTCAGAAATAATGATAATGTTGATAATGGGTAGATGTCTAATGGTTTCTCCAAAGTTTAGGAAGGCAGAGCAAAGACCTTTTTACATATAATGTCATAATTATCATTTAAAAGTAATTTAAATTAGTTTCTGACAAAAAATTGAGGAGTTCCAAAATTGTGTGAATATTGATAATTCTTTACACAATAGTATTCTGACGTCTGCAAAATAAATGACACTATTTCAATGCATTTATAAGCAATACATTGAGAAGGTTATGTAGTTCATAAAAGATAGGTTGAATTGCATGTTAGCATAGATTCTGTGAGCCCTAAGAAATTGAAGATAATACTGAAATATTAGAAGTGGTATCAAATGAATATCTCAGATATAGAGGTGACTGGTAAATGCAATAATTTGCTGAATTTGGTTTTCAAATTGAAAATTATTATTTCTCTAAAAAATTTTAGCACAAGTTCAGTACAAATATTAGGAAACCTCTTTCTGAGGAACTTCAAAGTAAAACTATATATTTTTATCTAAAATGGAAATTTTGTACTGTTTAACATCTTTAAAAAATGGGGGATGTTTCAAAACTTGACAGCTAGAAGAAGTAGTATACTTCCTTAAATTCCTTTTCTAAATCTAAAAAGTTTGAGAGTTAATAAAGAAACTGTGATATATACATGTGTGGAATGTTATTGACCCTTAAAAGAGAAGGAACTCCCGCCATTTGCAACAACATGAAGAAACCTAGAGAACATTGTTCTAGGTGCAATAAGCCAGACACAAAAGGACAAGTACTATAGGATCCCACTTATACTAGGGATCTAAAATATAAGCAGAGAGTAGAAGGGTGGTTACCAGGGGCTGGGAGAGCAGGAAAGAGGGAGGTGTTGGTCAAAGGGTACAACATTTTAGTTGTGCAAAATGAGTAAGTCTTAAAGATCTACTGTATAACATAGTGGCTGTAGTTAACAACACTGTATTATATACTTAAAAATTTGGGCTGAGCGCAGTCGCTCATAGCTGTGATCTTAGCACCTTGGGAGGCCTAGGCAGGTGGATTGTCTGAGCTCAGGAGTTTGAGACCAGCCTGGGCAACATGGCAAAATGCTGTCTCTACTAAAAATACAAAAAAAAGAAAAAAATTACTCGGGCATGGTGGCACACGCCTGTAATGTCTTGAGCCCGGGAGGCGGAGGTTGCAGTGAGACGAGATTGCACCCCTGTGCTCCAGCATGAATGACAAGAGTGAGACTCTGTCTCAAAAAAAAAAAATGCTAAGAGGGTAGATCTTACGTTAAGTGTTATTATCACACAAAATAATAAAGAGTGCAGAAGGAAATATTTGGAGATGATAGATAGGTTTTTATGACACAGATTGTTATGATGGTTTCATGGGTATATACTTATCTCCAAACTCATCAAATTGTATACATAATATATGTAAAGCTTCTCATACCAATCATACCTCAATAAGCTGTTTTTTCTTTAAAAAAATCTTCAAAAGAAAAAATATTTCTTAAAAATTTCACATTTTTTTCTACTTCATCAAAACATAATACAACTCATATTTAGGTTTCAGGACTCTTTAAATTGAATGAAAATGTAGTTTAAACAATGGTTAAATCTGTATAAATGTTTTAAAGACTTAACACAAATAAGATTACACTTGATTGATTGATTGAGACAGGGTCTTGCTCTGTTGCCCAGGCTGGAGTGCAGTGGCATCATCTTGGCTCACTGCAACCTCCTCCTCCTAGATTCAAGTGATTCTCCTGCCTCATCCTCCCGAGTAGCTGGGACTACAGGTGCTCGCCACCACTCCCGGCTAATTTTTCTATTTTTAGTAGAGACGGGGTTTCATCATGTTGGCAAGGCTGGTCTCAAACTCCTGACCTTAAGTGATCCACCCACCTCGGCCTCCCAAAATGCTGGGATTATAGGCGTGAGCCACCATGCCCGGCCATACCTTTGATTATTGAGGGAACTATGCAATGTTTGGTTTCATCATAGAACATGATCAATAATACTTTTTGCTTCTGAGAGCTATCGCATGTTGTGTTATTTTCACCAGTCTCTACATCAGCACCAAATGCTCATTTTCTACCTTCTATCACTAAAAAAAAAAAAAAAAAAAAAAAAAAAAAAAAAATGCTTCCTAATACCAAGGAAGAAGACAGATTTAGTGTTTTGAAATTGAGGGTTGTTGAACAGACATTGGTAAACAATGTATCCAGCCTGAAAGTCTTTTCATTCCTGGAGGAGAGGTTTCCAACTTCTGTTTGAACAGGGATAATATGGTACTTTTCAAAGCTCAACCATAAAAACTGTACACTCCATGACTTGATATATTACCCTATGTAATTGTCCAACTTCTAATAATAAGTTTAAAACCTTCTATGTTACTTTTGGAATTGTGTTACGCTCACTCTTCTTGGGGATTACTGGAATTAACAGGTTGTTTTATGAAAATATTATTTTACTGTCAAAATAATCAATTTGAAAAAGGTGTTTTTTTTTTTTTTTTTATGGAGTTTTTGCTCTTGTCACCCAGGCTGGAGTGCAATGGCATGATCTCAGCTCACTGCAGCCTCTACCTCCCGGGTTCAAGCAATCCTCCTGCTTCAGCCTCCCGAGTACCTGGGATTACGGGTGCATGCCACCACACCCAGCTAATTTTTGTACTTTTAGTAGAGATGGGGTTTCACCATGTCAGCCAGGCTGGTCTCGAGCTCCTTACCTCAGGAGATCCACCCACCTCGGCCTCCCAAAGTACTGGGATTATAGGCATGAGCCAAAGCACCCGGCTGAAAAAGGATAACGTGAAATTGTTCACAAAGCTACTTGCTTATTAGTGATCAGACAAATATTTCATTATTTTTCTATATAACCTGTAATCTCAGTCATAATTTAAAACATTTTTTTGAATTTATAACTGACAAATAATTATACATATTTATGGGGTACAATATGATGTTTCAACACATGTATATGTAGTATAGTTATCACATCAGGGTAATTACCATATATATTACCATAAATATGTATCATTTCTTTGTGATGACAACATTCAAAATCTTCTATCTTAGCTGCCTTGAAATATACGTCAAATTATTATTTGATATAGTCACTTTACTGTGTAATAGAACACCAGAACGTATTCTTCCTGTCTAAATGTAACTCTGCACCTGGTTACCAGTCTCTCTCAGACTTCCCCACTTTCTTTCCCAGCCTCTAGTGACCACTCTTCTACTCTCTATTTCTCTGAAATCAACTTTTTTGGATTACACATATGAGTGAGATCATGCAGTGTTTGTCTCCCTGTCCCTGGCTTATTTCACTTAACATAATGTTCTCCAGGCTCATCTATGTTGCAGCAAATAAAAGGATTTCATTCTGTTTTATGGCTGAATAGTATTCCAATGTGGGATATATACCACATTTTCTTTATTCATTTATCTGTAGATGTACATTTAGGTTGATTCTATATCTTGGCTATTGTGAATAGTGCTGCAGTGAACATGGGTGTGCAGATGTCTCTTCAACACACTGATTGCAATAATGCCCAGCTTTTGGTCCAATAACTGGAATTTTGGCAGCACCAGGAATTTTCAAGTTCCTTATACCATCTGCCCTAGTGAGTACTGCCTTATTTTCTGTTAGTGAGACTTTTAGGTAGCATACATCTGATTTACGTAAGAAAAGTATGCATGGGGGAAATTTTTTCTATTTATAATAATAGATAGTCCCACATGTGAAATGGTAAGGCAGAGACCAAGAAAAATGGGATATTTATAAACTTAATAATTAGACGTTTTGCTGTCAATTTGGGAAACAGAACTGTTTTAAAATTGATCTTTTTTAATCACTTCTTATTTTTTTAACCAGGTATTGAAAATTCAAAATCTATTTACCATACCTACATTTTCCCAACATATAGATTGAATTCACAAGATGTCTTAGACTTCTCATGCATAAAAATTACCAAAAATGGTCCCAAGTCTTGTTCTTTCTTACGTCCCCATTATAAAGTCCATTTCAAACAAATTTTACTTCATATTTTTATTTAAAGGATATGTGACTTTCTGTTATACACTTAAGGAAAAACTGTTTCAAAAAACTTTCACAATAATCATATAGTCCTTTTCGGTCCTATTGGGTTGAAATTTCTAATGCTGCTATTAAGCTCTAGATATTTTTTATGCCTTTATTTTCCATTTTTAGGAGTTGAGAAGGAAGTGGGGAGAGACCATATTCTCTTCCTACTTCCAAGTCTCTGTTCTCACAAAATATTGCATCACTGATATAATAAATGGTGGATTTAGCCAAGCAAATAGCCACTTCTGTTGTAATTTGCCTTGGAAGGCATTAGCATTGTAAAAGGGTTTTTTGTTAGCTCATCAAAGGAATCTTCACATTTCTCTCTAATCTGCCCATATAGTTTCATTGTACAACACAAAGAGCTATACATAAGGTAAAGGACTTTTCTTAATATATAGTACATAAGAAAGGAAAGTGAAGAAATGACTTTTTCCTGCTCCCGCTGGTACCCACAATCCCATTCTCCCAAACTTGGTCCCAAAGCATGCTCCTTTTCTGTGAATGGCATCTCCTTTCTTAAGATGGAAGTTGTCAGTAATGGTCTTTGTATTAAATGCTGTTTTTGTGTTGTGACTTGGCTAGGCCTCACCCTCTAATTTGATTCTTGTTTTAGTGTGAGGATTGGAAACTATGACTTGCAGGCCATATGTAGCCTGCCAACTATGTTTGTAAAGAGAGTTTTATGAGAACACAGGCATGGTTTTTGTATATGGCTGCTTTCTCACTACAACAGCAGAATTAAAGAGTTGCTCTATGGCCCTTAAAATAAAAGTTTGCCACCCCTTGTTCTAGGGTAAGAAAGGGGACTGGAAAGGTATTGGAAGAATAGAGTTGGTTTCCAGGGCTAGAGCAACATCTGGAACAACATCCACAGAACTCCACTGGGCCACATCTGGGCAGGCAGGCCTTGCTTCCCATGGGCTTCGCTACCCAGAGATGTCTATACTACTGGTAGAGGTTTATTTAACCTGAACACCTAATCCACAGAGAAGAAGTTTAATTTTTATTGGCTTAAGGGCTTTATCTCATCAGAGAGTAAGAGGTTCACTAAAAACTTGAAATTAAAACAATTTGAGCTTTTGCTGAAAGTGCTTTTTAACTTAAATACAAGCCTAAGCACAGGCAGTCTGAGTGTCTGAACCTAAACACATCAGCATGATTCTTATTTCTCTTTTCACAAGGTGACAAGATCGTAACAACATACTTTTAAAAGCTATGATCTTGTACCTAGGCTAACACTTACTCCCTCTCTCTAACCTTCCAAGGGACCCAATCTCAAAAAAATGTTACAAAGTTTCTCAGAAACCTATTGAATACACCAACAGTATTAAAGAAGATAGAATTCAAGGAAGAAACCCAAGGCTTTTTGGTGGCAGAGAAACTAAGCCACATTTGAATTGTATGCATTTTTCCCTACTACCTGTAATTCTAGACTCCTTTTATGCATCAATTTGGCATGTCATAAAGTTTAGAAACAAAAATATCCATTAAGCTAAGGGTGTTAAACATTAATTCATGAAATAGTCTGGAAATCTCCTGGCCTTTTCAATTTACAAGCCAAGCAGTTCATAAATCTTACAGGCCTCCAGAGCTAATCAGTAAGACCCAAATTGGTAATCCAAATCATTAACTCAGTTTGCCAGATGTTGGAAGTTTGTTCCACTTTTTGTTCTCTCTCTTGCTCTCTCTCTCTCTCTGTGTGTGTTTGTGTACACCCATACATACATATTATATATAGTTTTTCCTCTTTAAACATAAACACTAAATATAGCCAAATTTGGAGTATTCTGGAAAGATGGTGATGGTATAGCTTTTAAATCTCCCTAAATTGTACCATAAACCACACAGCAATTAGACCAGAAATCCCAAAACCTAGAGTCAACAGATACAACAAAATTAGGCAAAAATGTCTCATCACTAACCCTCAAACTTGAGAAGATAGAGACAAATCGATGACAACAATAAAATCAACAAGGAATCAGCAACTGAGCCGGAAGAGTTAGAGAGATGGTAACATGATTACAACTATGCTGAAAACCAAAGAACCACCACTCCCCCAACATTGTCATAAACAACTACTCCCTGAAAACCACATGTCCAATCAGAGAAGACTAACTGAAACTGAGACAGAGGTAGACAGGCATCAATTCATGACTGTGTGGGGTGGCTCAAAAGGTCAGATGGCACTGGGGTTATCTGGGCCTCTTAAACGCTGGAAACAAACTAAAGCTCCCTTTCAGGATAGTCTCCCTGAGAGAAACTGCTAGCAATATAATCTATACTATGGAGAAATTGAAAAAGGTAGAATGGAAAAATAGTAGGGAAAAATACGAAGTTTCATCTAAAACTGGGAAAGAAGAAGCTGGCATATTTCAGCAATTATAGTCATAATTTTAATTACCTTGAAAATGAATCAGACAAAGGATCTCAAGAGCTGTGAAGGTAGAAGAAGCAATTCTAGTTTACCTTTCCTCCTAAAATTAAAAAAAATTACTCATCTAAATGAACAAAGGCATATATTGCTGTTGAAACTTATACATTACTTTAGGAAAAAAGAAACTAAGGAGCAAAATAACCATTAGACAGTGAAGGTAATTTTAAAAGAATACCTGTTACACAAGTGAAAAGAGTAATATTTCACAAAGCATTAAGGAAAGTCTAAAAAGTAATATAATCAATGAAAAAGCACCATAAACTAGAAACATTACTCAGAAATGAGGTGAATGAAGAAAAGGAACGTTTGAAAAGGGGTGATTCCCTAGAAACACAGCCTGAGACAGAAATTTGGGTATATGTGATTTATTGAGAATATATTCTTTAGTAAAAAGCAAAATCTATGAAGGAGTGAGGAAAGCTGGGTAGGAAAGAAGACCATGAGTAAGAATTTAGGCTTGATATAGTCCAAGGTGTAGAGGAGGAAGAGTGCCTTGGAGGATATGCACATTGGAGATTTGTCTCTATGTTTAGGCAAGAGGTCTAGTCTTTTAATACACAGTACTTAAGAAAGTCTTCTGTGCAAAAGACTATGTATGTACTATAGTCTTCTGTGAGTGAGTCATTAGCTGTTGGCCATATTCAAAGGAGGATACTACCTCCCAGCAAGATGGTCCCGATCAGCTAAGAGCAATCCTCTGGAGAAAATGAGCAGTTGTTTTTGGCAGCCAACACTCACAGCAGCTGGGGGATGAGTGTACCATCTTCTTAAAGGGCATCTAGTGTCTGCTATAAAGATAAATTTTAAGGAAATAATATCAGGTTGATTTCATTTTGTGAAAGCAAAACTATACCAGAAGACAATGAAGTAACATATTTGAGATACTCAAAGAAATAAATTACCAGAATTCTATACCTAGCCAGCATGTCCTTCAAGTTTAAAGGTTCTAAATGAACTGTTATGAAGACAGAGAAATTTAAGGAGTATTTTTCCAATGAGCACTTCCTAGCATATCTACTTGAGTGTGAATTTCATGAAATTAGAATCACTAAAGGGATATCAATATTATATTATATGGACAAAGTGGTTATATGCTTTCCTAAAGTGACAATGCAGCTACAGTAACACTTTGCAGAATAAGGAGAATGTAAGCACAAAGAACAAGATTACCAACTGAGATTTAAAAATATATATTTTTCAAATTATATTGTAAAGGAAAAGGAAGATAGAGAAGAAAGAATTACTAGCTAATATCAATAATAATAATTGATATAACAAGGTAAAAACCAAAAACATAAGATCCTATAAAAGAGGAGAATAAAAGCAATATTCAAGTAAATAGACTAAAATGCAAATATGTGCCAATAGCCAGAAGTATAGATAGGTAGACGATAGGTATTACAAACATATATTTGTACATGCATTGGTGTGTGTATGAATGTATATGTACAAATGTATATACATGTGAGTATCAGTTTATCTCTCTATAAAATACTACTGTAGAACTGAGGTCAAACATTTTGATAGTATTAATAAATGTCAATTAACCTTGTTAAACTATTAAGAAAACATACTTCAGCCAGGTGTGGTGGCTCACGCCTGTAATCCCAGCACTTTGGGAGTCCAAGGTGGGCAGATCACCTGAGGTCGGGAGTTCGAGACCAGCCTGACCAACATGCAGAACCCCTGTATCTACTAAAAATACAAAATTAGTCAGGCGTGTTGGCGCATGCCTGTAATCCCAGCTACTTGGTAGGCTGAGGCAGGAGAATCGCTTGAACTCAGAAGGTGGAGGTTGCAATGAGCCGAAATTTTGCCATTGCACTACAGCCTGAACAACAAGAGCGAAAGTCCACCAAAAAAAAAAAAAAAAAAAAAAGAAGAAGAAGAAAATATACTTCTGATAGGCTATGAAACAAAATGCAATACACTATATACAAGAGACATATTTAAAACAAAGAGAATCGTAAGTGTTAAAAATATAAGATGGACAAATATATGCCAGGACAAAGGAAACTCATGGTCAGAGGGTCTTAATCTTACTATCAACGAAGAATGCAGACCAAAAAAAAGCATTAAAAGAAACAAACAAATGCGACACTTAAAATGAATATATTCAAGAGATGTTCATATTTATGTAACTTATAATAGGGCAACAATATACATCATAGCAGAAGATACAGCAGATGCAAATATTTATAAATCTCTCTCAATCCAAGACAATCAAGTGGAAAAAAATAGTATACAGAAGATCTAAACAACATATTACCTAGAAACTCATCAAATTGTAAACCTTGAAGATAGAAAGTATGCATTTTAAAAAGGGCATGTAACATTTGCAAATACTGACCTTTTCTTAGTACACATATAGAACCTAATAATTTCCAAGCAATTGAAATAATACAAATAAAACCAAATCAAGAAATAAAATTGGCCTGCTATAGTCTGAATATTTGTATCTTCCAAAAATTCATATATGGGAACCTGATCCCCACTGTGAGAGTATTAGAAGGTGGGGATTTTGGGAGGTGATTAGGTCATAAAGGCTGTGCCCTCACACATGAGATTAGTGCCCTTATAAAAGAGACCCCAGAGAGCAAGCTAGGCCCTGTATCCACATGAGGACACATAGAAGGCACTATCTATGAGGAACAAGCTCTCACCAGACATTGAATCTTCTGGCACCTTGATCTTAGACTTCCCAGCTTCTAGACTGTAAGAAATAAATTTATCATGTTTATAAGTCACCCAGTTTATGGCATTTTTGCTATAACAGCCTGCATAAATTAAGACAAGGTCTCTCCACACCAATAATTTAAAATATGCTGTTAAATAACAATTATGTCAAAATATATAAAACTAAATTACAAAAATACTTGAAAATGAAAATAGTATCAGAAGCTATGGAATATATCTTAGTTATCTGAGTAAACTTAAAACATTAAATATTTATATCAAAAATTAAAATGTGTAAATTAAATTCCAACTCAAAAACATAGAAAGACAAAAATAGTAAACCAAAAGAAAGTATACATCATGAACTATTAGGGAAATGCAGAAATTAATTTTAGAAAATAGAAACAGTAGAAATAATGAACTTACATTTTAATTCTTAAAAAAATATGACTATTAGTTAATTTAAATAAGTAATTATGCAAATAAACTTGCATACTTTGATAAACTAATGATTTTGTACAGAAATCCAACCTACAAAATCTGACCACAGTAGAGACAGAGATTCTAAACAGATAAATTGCTACAGAAAAAAAAGTAGACGAAATTTTACTGAACCTTTAAAAGTCAGACAACCCTAATGCTACTTAAATTAGTCCAGAGCACAGAAAATAAAGAAAAACTTCCAAATTATTTATAAAGAGAGATCCTGAAAACGACTGAGAAAAAATTAGCCCAAACTCACTTATAAATAGCAATGTAAAAATATTAAATTTAAATTATCAAACAGAAGTAAACAGTTCATTTAAAAAAGATACATTATGATCAAGTGAGTTGTATCTCAGAATTGCAGGGTCATAATAAGTTGCCTAAGGCAACTTATTAATACTAATCATCATAGTTATAAGGCTAAGGAGAAAAAAACATTAACTATTGCCATAAAATCTGACAAGACTTGAAAAATTCAACTCTACTTCCTGCTGAAAGTGCCAATTAAGGTAGTAATTAGTGGTTACTTCATTAACTGTCTCTTTATCAGGTATACATACATGCAAACACACACAACTATCATACATTTATACTTGTATGTGTGTATGTATCTCAAAGCCAACTTGCCTGATAAAGTCAGGAAGAAGAAAAGAAAGGATGCTAACGATATCTACGTTATTTAATATTGCATTGAAGCTATCAGCCAACGTAACTGACAAGAAAATTAACTGCATTAAAATTGGAAATGAAGAGGTAGAACTAATTCAATGTTCCAAAGATATGATTAATATCTGGAAACTTCAAATAATCTATGGTAAGTTACTATAATTATATAAGATTTTAAATAAAATTGTATGTTATAAAATCATGGAACAGAAATGAACAGCCTTTTATAATAAAACCAAAACTAGTTAGAAGATATGATGAAAAATAAGACATCATTTAAGAGAGTTAATAAAAATTATCTAGGCAACAATCTAAAAATAATTAAAGCTTCTATTAATTACTTTTGAAATAATTTAAAAAATGGAGTTGAGGCCGGGCTGGGTGGCTTACACCTGTAATCCCAGCACTTTGGGAGGCCGAGGCTGGTAGATCACTAGGTCAGGAGTTCGAGACCAGCCTGACTACAATGGTGAAACCCTGTCTTTACCAAAAATACAAAAATTAGCCAGGCATAGTGGCAGGCACCTATAATTCCAGCTACTCAGGAGGCTGAGGCAGGATAATTGCTTGAACCCGGGAGGCAGAGTTTGCAGTGTGCTGAGGTCGCGCCACCGAACTCCAGCCTGGGCGACAGAGTGAGACTCCATCTGGAAAAAAAAAAAAAAAAAAAAAAGGAGTCAAACAAAAGGAGGGGAAAAAATCTCACTGGAGAATGCTCAGAAGGCAACTCATTATTTTGAAAATTGCTTAAAAAATGGAATTGGTAATGAATAAAGAGGAATTGTTCAAGATCTATCCTGCCTTTTCTGTAAGCATTATCCCACTAGGTAACCAAATAGTTGACAGAAAATGTTTAATTTTTTTAAGGTATACCACCTTAAAAATGAATAAAGTTGCTCTCCTGTACAAAGACATTTTTCTCTTTCTACTTTTCACATTTTCCTTTTATTTTTGGCTTTAAGATCAACTCTGGTGAGTGTAGGTGTAGATCTTTGTGTTTATCCTAGTTAGAATTTATTGAGTTTTTGTCATATTAATATTTAAAAATCAAATCTGGGAAGTTTTTGGCATTATTTCTACTCCTTTCTCTCTCTCTTCTTCTTCTAGAACTTCAGCTATCCATATGTCAGTGTGTTTGACGATGTTCTCATAGGATGAGATTTTGTTCACTTTTTCTTTCATCTCCAATCTTTTTTCTCTCTGTTCTTTGAACTTCTATGGCTTTATATTCAATGTACTGACTTTTTTCTTCTAGCACCTCAAAATTGCTTCTGAGACCATTTCAGTCATCGTATTCCTCGACTCTAAAATTTGATTCTTTTTTATAGTTATAATTCCCTATTGAGATTCCCTATTTGTCCAGCCATTGTCATAGTTTTCTTTCATTATTGGAATATATATATATATATATATATATATATATATATATATATATATATATATATATAATGGCTTCTTTGGAGTGTTTGCTAAATCCAACTTCTGGGCCCATCCGGGAATCTATTTTTATTGGCTGCTTTCTTTGCCATTCTTTCGTATATCTCATAATGTTTGTTTAAAAACCAAACACTTTAGACAGTATCATGTAGCAGTCTTGGGTTTAGTTTTTATTTTTCTGAGAGTTGAATTTTTTTTTTACTATTCTTTTCTTATTCCTTGCTTTTGTTTTGTGTTGGTAACTTGCCTGGACTTAATTTTCAAGATCTTTGTCCTTACATTATTTGTCCACTGATATCTTTGCACAATTTTTAAGAATTCTTTCATTTTTTAGCCTAATTTCCTATGATCCACTCTTCCGTCTGCATAGCAAAGTACTCAGCCAATGACTTGGGTAGAGTTTGTGTTTCAATGCTTCATACTATTATGGTCCTGTAGATCAGTCTCTGTGGAGTCTTGTAAGTGCATTAAACTGTTCCCTCAGCTCCAAGTATGACTTGGGTTTTAATTTTTCCCTGGGCTGTCTAGAGTCTCCCTCATGTATGCATGTAGTTTTCCAGTTCGCCTAAGATGTATGAAGAGCCTATTTCAGCTTTTCTATGGCTCTCCCGTTTTCTAGATGTGAGACCACAACCAGACCTAGCAAAGCTGTGAGTTTTCCCTTGTCATTTTTTACCAAATTTACCACATTTAGCAGACAAAGCTTGTCCTTCTAGCTTCTCTCTCCCTTGCAGCAAATATGATACTTTATATGGCCAAACCCACCCACACTGGGAAGCTACACTTTTCCATGGCCATGCTCCCTGAAAGAAGATGAGAGAAGTCCCAGGCAAGAACTCAAATTTCTAGCAGTTTTTAAAGAAATAATGCTTCCCAATTTGTTTTCTACATGGTTGATTTTCAACAGCTGAAATTGTTGTTTTGACAATTTTGTTCAGTTTTTTACTTCTTTTTTTTTGTTTGCTTTGCAAAGACAGATGTGCCCATTTCCTTATGCTGCTATACAGAATTCACTAGTTTTTTGTTGTTGTTGTTTGTTTTTTTGTTTGTTTATTTTTATTTTCTGAAGACTGCGTCTTGCTCTGTCATTCAGGCTGGAGCACAGTGTCACGATCTTGGCTCACTGCAACCTCCGCCTGTCAGGTTTGAGTGATTCTCCTGCCTCAGCCTCCTGAGTAGCTGGGATTATAGGTGCCCACCACCAGGCTCATCTTAGTTTTCTATTTTTAATAGAGATGGGGTTTCACCATGTTGGCCAGGCTGCTCTTGAACTCCTTACCTCAAGTTATCTGCCCGCCTCAGACCCCTGAAGTGCTGGGATTACAGATGTGAGCCATCATGCCTGGCCTGAATTCACTCGTTTTTTAAAAAAATTATTGATTTTTTAGGTGTGATAATATTACGGTTACAATTTTTAAAAGTCTTATCAGCATAAAATACATACTGAAGCATTTATGATGAAATCATATCACACTGATACTGGCTTTAAAATAATTTGTGTCTCAAAGAACAGGTGGAGATATTGATGGAGCAAGACTGAATGTGAGATAATAATTATTGAATCATGGAACAATTGGAAATTGTTTGAAATGCATCATAATTTTCTCTAGTTTTGTATATTTTGAGACTATTTACTCAATAAAATGTTAAGAGAAATAATTAAATGCTGAGATTCTATTAGTTATACACAGCATCAGGAACGAAACGAGACAAATAGAACTTATTCTAACACAGTATATTATAGTGAATTACTACGTAGGTAACTCAACTTCCCTTAACATATTAAATCTAACTCCTTCAAAAGGCAACCTGTTAGCCTATGATATTGCAATAATAATGCCCATCATCCCTATATTTGCTTTACCTCTTTATCAAAAACCATTATATCATAAATATGATAGATTTGCATTTATTGAGTGCTTACTTGAGCCAGGTACTGTGTTTAGCATTTGATATATATTGCCAATGGACAATGCTTGGGGTTCAGAGTTTCTGATGGGCCTGTCACTATTTCTTGCTCTTCTATTCAAGTTTGAAGAAAAAAGGTAGCAGAAAGTAAAAAATGCAGTAAGTTTGATTAATAATCTTCTATTAAATATTTTGTATCAGTTAAGGAGGTTTTGGGAAACTTTGAAGACAAGTTTATTGAGATGGAAAAAAATGTCCAAGGATAGATGCAACTCCCTAAAAGATTTCTGATGTATAGGTCTCTTCCAAAACAAAATCATGGCCCCCCAAAATAAAAATATTTAGCGAGGAACAGATGCTCAAGCCTTACTCTACATGACCGGCGTAATCCTGGGAAACTCGTAGTCCTGCAATGTAAGCCATGGTGTCCTGGTAATGATGTATACACTGCATGTCAAGAAAACAATAAGCTGTTTGCTGACCTCAGGACATCTGGGTACTTTTAGCACCCATGGTGGGTTGGCAGGGGGACAATTTCTCATGACTATAGATTTATGAGCCAGTTCAATTTTCACGTCTCTCAAAAAAGATTCCACTGCCTATCGAAGTTGTTTTTTTTCTTTTTTTTTTTTTTTTTGAGATGGAGTTTCACTCTTGTAGCCCAGGCTGGAGTGCAATGGCACAATGTCAGCTCACTGCAAGCTCTGCTCCTGGGTTCAAGTGATTCTCCTGCCTCAGCATCCCAAGTAGCTGAGATTACAGGCATGCGCCACCATGCGTGGCTAATTTTGTATTTTTAGTAGAAATGGGGTTTCTCCATGGTAGTCAGGTTGGTCTCAAACTCGCAACCTCAGGTGATCCACCCGCCTTAGCCTCCCAAAGTGCTGGGATTACAGGTGTGAGCCACTGCACCCAGCCCTATCAAAGTTTTAAATCTCTTACAGGTGACTTTGAAAACAGACATCTTTGAAAATGTCTTTCTCTCTCTGCTTACAAGGAACATGATTTATCAGTTTATATTGTTGTCTTCATGTGAATATTTTGACTTCCAATTTGACAGCTCACATATTATGGAGTAATTTCTACATTATTACCTCCACTCATGTAGGCCTGGGGAACTTGTCCATGATGAAGTACTCAGTTGAATGAGAAGACAGATTTGAGCACCTGACAAGATCCTTGGAAGGGATTATGCCTGAAAGCATAATGTGAATGGGAAAGAGAAACAGGGAAAGGGCTAGTCTCATCTGATCAGGAAAACCAGAAACCAAATCTTAACCCAATAAGGTAACAGGGCTTGTCACATATCACTGAATGAACAAATACTTGCCAATGATGTTGAAAGTCAGTAATGTAAACTTTGGACTTCAAATGAGAAAACAGAGATGAAGTAAATGAAAGTTGATTCAGCTCACATTCCTTAATATGTGTATAATTTTCTGCATTTATTTACCTGGCACACAGAAATCATATTTTTAAATGGTAGAACAGTATTTATCTTTAACTTTATGATAATGGGGAATTATATTCTCATAACTGTGCACTGAACTTAAGATTTTATAATTTTTACTCTTTGGAGAGTTGTTTTGTTTTTATTTGTATAATCATTTCCACCTTCATATTCTTGACTAAGACCCATCTGAAAAAGTTTAGTGCTAGCTCATATTTTTTGATGGAACACTTTGGATTAGCTGATGCTGTCAAGAGAAATGAAAAGACATTCTTACCAAGGTGAAACCATTTTAGTTGCATACTGCTGAACAGTCAAGATTCAAGAAGGATAAATCATGAAAAAAATAATTTACTTTGCTTTTTATGCTATGCTGTTTTCATAACAGCAGGATAAGAATTGCAATTTGGAATAGGAGGATCTATGGTTGAAGCATACTGTTGGAGTTTACTTTGAGCTATATAAGCTATATATCTTTGGAGTTTACTTTAAGCTATGTGAATTTACAGCAGGAAACTCTCTTCAACTCTTTGCACAAACAACATCTCAATGAGGCTACATAGTAAACATAACCTCCCTTACTCTTCTTTCATTTTTCTTTTCCCATAGCATTTATCACCTTCTAAAATATACATCTATAGTGTACATCTTTTTTAGCTTTATTATTTATTGTTTATTTTCTGTCACCCTGCCAGACTGCAGACTTCATATGGGCAAAGATATTTGTCTGTTTTCTTCTCTGATATACCTTCATAAAACAATATCATGCATATAGTAGATACTTCATAAATATTTTTGAAATTGATTATAGTATCTATGATGCAAACACTTCGAAGTGGCTTTACAAAGTAAATATTAAGATACCACTAAATTTCAAAGTCTAGTTAATCTAACTTCAAATATTTCCTTAGTCCTTCTGAATAATGTTAACTTATTCAGAGCACATGTAATTAATGTAGCTCATTTATTGGATAAATTACTCTCTGAGACATCTTGACTAGTCCTTTCTTTGGTGAACTTAATTATTTTTAACCCTTTTCAAGTTAACTTTTAAAGAAAAATTTCTAAACAGTACTCATCTGTGAATCTTCTCCTTTTGTTATATTTTGTTACATCTGAGAAATTTATAAAAATATTGTGTTTCTGTGTATGTGTGTGTACATTTTACAATGTACTATCTGACAAGAGTTTCTTATTGAATGAAGTACTAAATACTGGATATTTTAATAATAAATATGTGAAAACTGTATGTATTAGTCTGTTTTGCATTTCTGTAAAGGAATACCTTTATAGACTAGATAATTTTAAAGAAAGAGGCTTATTTGGCTCACAGTTTTGCAGGCTGTATAAGCATGGCATTGGCATCTGCACACCTGCTGGTGAGGCCCCAGGAAGCTTTTAGTCATGTCACAAGGGAGTGGAAGCTGGCATGTCACATGGCGAGAGAGTGAGGAAGAGAGGAAGGGGAGGTCTCAGACTCTTTTTAACAACCAGATCTCATGTGAACACATTACCATGGCAAGGGCACCAAGCCATTCATGACAGATTTACACCCATGACCCAAACACCTCCCACCAGGCCTCATCTCCAACACTGGAGATTACATTTCAACATGAGATTTGGAGGGGACAAATATGCACACTATATCACTATATTATTCTGTTTCCTAGTAATATCAGGAAGTCTTTGTCAGCCACTTTGGAGACTCATTAAGGAAAACTAAACACCTCTGATGGCTTTGAATTTCTCCATCATCTCATTCTTTTTAATCCAAATGTCTTAGGCCTTTAATATCACTGTCTAATGGCTCATGTCTCCTAATAGTCTTTAGACTCCACCTTCAAATTTATCTTGCTATTGTCAGGATATCCACAGGGTCATGGGACACCTGTGCATAACGACAAACCTTCCTCTATCCTCTGAGCCTGGCCCATGAATGAAGATGCCTTAGCAGCACTCTACGTGTCCTCCTGGGAAAGCTTGTTACTGCAGCTTCGTCTGGGTTCCTAAGTTGTGCCATGAGTGTTGGAAGGAAGGAGGTGAATGGCCTTCCATAAACATATGGTGGTATTTTACTCTCTGGGCCCCAGACATATGCCACTTGGTCCCAAAGTCTCCAGAAGCTTTCATGAACATGGTTTAAAGCCAGCTCTTCAGGTGAAGCTGGGGATGTGGGAGTCAACAAGTCTCAATGAATCACCTCCTCTTTTCTTATCTATCACTTATGCTTTCTTTATGCACCCCAAATTGTCAACTATGCAGGAAAGAAAAAACCTCCCTCTGTATCTTCAGAGGTTACCGTTTTATATGAGTGGCAAAAACAGCCATTTACCTTGAGCTTAGTTAAGGCACCTGAAACTCTAGGATAGGCACCCTGCCTTCCTTGCTGTGAAAAAGGAGTTCAGTGCGGATGTGGAATGTGTTTTACAGAGGATGTAGAGAAAATGATATAATATAAAATAGGAAGACAAATTCTTCCTAGTAAGGCTGGAGTGGGTATCAGGTTTCTTGACTAAGCCCAAGAGTACTTAATAGAGCTTTTACAACAAAATAAAAATAAAAAAGAAGGCAAAGAACTATGATTATATAAAAAAGTTTATCATTTTTTCCTATAAATGGTTTTGAAGCAAAAACAGAAGCTCCAGTATAAGACAGAAAACATTGTGTTGTTATGTGACAGTCTGAAAAAGCCCTCAATGTTTCTTTCATAATCAATCACTAAAAATATGAAACAAACATAAGCCGGTCTTTTAAAGCAGCAATAACTTATCTGAAATTGGTCACTTAAGGAAGACAAAGCGGTACAGGGTCCAAAACTGGCTATTCAGGCTAGATGAACTATCTCCAAACAAAACCCATAAGGCAAAGGACAAAACTGAATTGATATGTATACAAACCTCAGTCACATCAATCTTCAGCTGATCCAGAAACAGAGAACAGACAATTTTACAGTACTCTAAATTGTTTAAATGTCATCTAGAAAGGATGTAAAAACCAGTATCACAACTGTGAAAACAGAATTATTTAAGAAAAATTTTAAAAACAGTTTGTATACTAATATTAGCCATTAAAACAATGAGTTAAAATTTCACTTAAAGTTAGTGAATGAAAACAATGTAAAAAGACTAAAATCAATATAAAGAACCACATATGTGAGAATAGCATTTTTCTTATGATTATTATGTCTTTAGTCAGAAATATAGCAAATTCAAAAATGCCTTCAATATATTAGGTTAGGCAATTTTTAAACTTAAAGTAAAAAATACAAAATTATGCAATATAATTATAAATATAAAACCATTCCATAAAATTATCTTTTAAACCACAGAATAGTCAGTATTGGTAATTTAATGAGGAAATTCTTAATGATGCTAATAAAAACAGACACTTATTCACTTTAGATTGACGTCTCATGGCCCAAGCATTACTGATGTTTCTTTAGCATTTCTCAAATATGTCACAAAAAGAAGCTCTCGTGGGCAGAGCGAGCATAATGTTAAGAACTGAGATAAATATGCTCAGGACTAAATCAATGTTTCCAAATCAAATAATATTTCCAAGAAAAATATGAAGATGATTGAATTGATATAAACTCAAGCATATAAAGACAGTGCAAGATGCATAAGTCTAAATCTATGCTTAGGTATACATGATTCATATCATTTAAATCCATTTTTCATAATAGATGTTTTTAATTCTAAAGTAAAGTAACATCAGGCTTTAGAATGCTTTGCCAAAATTGCAAACCACCTCTGCTATGTACTGAGAAGTAAGTACAGAGCTGTGCACAAAGGTATCAGATATTCCATCTGGCCCTATGAAAGGCCCTCTAATTCCTTGGGTCTTGCCCCACTACATGAAACAAAGAGGTTGGTGGAGGACTGGCCAAGGCATCATACAAAGTTTCTGTGGATCCCACTTGGGAAGAGCTGCTGGAGCAGCAGCACTCACCAACCTCAGGAAATAGATAGGGCAGTGTAGACAGATAGATGGTGGTGGATGGTACACACCCACTTCATCACCAAACCATGAAAGGCAAGTAAATCTTTGATGTAGGAGGTTAACCAGCAAATGTTTGCTACCTCCATGAAGAAATTATGCTAGTCACTTCATATACAGGATTTCATTTTATTTAAACTAAATTAATAAGCCTTGTATCTTCTTAACTCTGCTTTATTAAACAATTCCTATTTTAAGTTCCACCTTGGCGAATGTCTGACTCATGTTCTGATATCATAGTGTTGAATGCTGTCTAAAAAGATCTTATGACTTATTTAGAAGGATGGATGAAACAACCCCCAACTATCTCTTTGGACAGTTTATGGGGTTTTTATAGTATATGAAAAACAAGCTGTACCCTTTTAATAAAAGGGAGCCTTAAAAACTAAAAATCAATCAGAATCCTAGAACAGCCTCAGTGACATGAAAAGCCCTCAGAATCACAATGATGCCTCCCTTGTTGGCTGTCAGAACAGCACCAAGTGTCATCTGAGAGTCGTTTCTCCTTTTCAAAAGAATGATCTCGAAACATAGCAACATTACAGTGTTTAATAAAATTACTTTTTCTGAAAACTTCAATCATGAAGGAGTCAGAATTTCTTTCACCTTACCAAAATGAAAAAGAATCAGGATTCATTTTTTTAAGTATTCCTTTCTTTGCCTTGCTGAGATCTGTACAGGAAATGTCTTGGGGTAGAGAGAGACAGAGAAAGAAGGAAGTGGAGAGAAAAAGAGAGGGAGATGGAAAAGGGAAAGGAGTAGGGGAGGGAGATGAGGAGGAAGAGGAGGAGAACTAAGAGGAAGAGGAGGAGGGGAAGCAGTGGGCAGGAAGACAAGGAGAAGGGGGAGGAGGAGGAGAAAGGAGGGGGGAGAAGGAGGAGGGGGGAGAAGGAGGAGGGGGGAGGAGGGGAGGGGGGAGGAGGAGGAGGGGGGAGAAGGAGGAGGGGGGAGGAGGGGAGGGGGGAGGAGGAGGAGAAGGGGGAGGAAGAGGGGGAGGAGGAGGAGAAGGGGGAGGAGGAGGAGGAGAAGTGGGAGGAGGAGGAGAACAGGGAGGAGGAGGAGAAGGAGGAGAACGGCAGGAGGAGAAAGAGCAACGCTAACTGGCTTAATACCCCACCTGAAAAAGCACAGGAATTATTGGTCAAAGGTAATAGAAAGTATTACCTAGTGGTTCCTAACACTTCTGCCATCAAATATCCCCATGACAAATGAATGGACAACAGGAAATAAAGTATGACTGAATTCTGCCCAGTCAAGATTTGTGTACATAACATTTGTATATAAACCACGTCTTAATAGAACAAAAATATCCATTTAGAGCTTCGTAATGAGGGAAGGTTTTCAAACCTGCTTCTTGCTAATATGGAATCTATAAACATCTGTTAACTCCTCAAGATGTTTGGGTTATTGATGGGGAGAGTGTCAGGTTCAGTCCACAACACAGGAATCGTGTGGTCAGTTGCAAGCCCAGGATTGCTAACTACTGTCCACGGTAGCTGGGAAAGCCATCCTAGGGAAAATCAAAAAGCATCGATCCCATTCTGAAGCTGAGTCACAAACATTTGGAAACTGAAGACAGAGATCGTCATTAAAACTGAGGTGTGCTTGTGGAGTTTGTTAAATCTTCTTGCTGTGACATGAAAATAGAACTGCGCTGATCAAAATGCACATCAGCTTTTGCTTAAGTGCATCGTAAAGAACCCCTTGGCCCATTCAAAAAATGTATTATGATTATTTCTTCATATTCTAATAAACAACTATGACACATTCCATTAGATTATTCTTGTTTCTTGAATATGTGTCCATTATCCGTTCAAGAAGATTTTTTTGAGTCTGTCACTCCTAAAGAAAGATTATGCTTCCTTTTATTGGAAAACAAAAACAAAACAACAACAAAATATGTATATATATGAAGATATATGTGTGTGTGTGTATATCTATCTATCTATCTATCTATCTATCTATCTATCTATCTATCTTCACATTTCTCTTTATTGCTTGTCCAGGTTACTATTAATCACAGTAAAGACACAACATAATGATTTGGCTTCACTTTATCCATTGTCACCAAATAAAGTTCTATTTTAAGTTCTGTTTTAATTTTAAGGTCCAATAAAAAATGACTACCATTATATAATATTTCATTTTTTCAAAAATAAAAAGTTTAAACAGTTGTTTTTGTTTTATCATAAAAATTCAAGGCATTTGACCTTGTCTCACTCACCCAAATTTATTGAAGAAAATTCATAGGCATTCCACATATATCTTCCAATAAATTTCAAATTCTAAGTTGGATTCTTCCTAAGGCATTTAAATATTTCTGTGTTCATTCTTAGAGGAAGAAAATGCTGAAAATTTTTTTAAAAACAATTTTAAAAGAAATAGAAATTTCATAAAGATTTTTCTACTCTGTTGGTTTGGAAGTAATTTTTGTTAGTGGTTACTCTAAAAATTACAATGCCCATGCTTAATTTATTAGTGTAATCTACCCTAATCAATATTTTTATCTTCCTTTTTCAAAACACAAGGACATTAGCAAATATAACTGCATGTGATAGTCATAGAAATATGTATCTCAGATTTTCTGCTGTGTGGAGCATAGATGACTTTCAGCCCCAGCTATGGCCTCTCTGGACCCTTCACTGATTTCATACCAAGGCCACACTTCCCCTAGGCTACTACCATGCCTTCCCCAGACTGACCACAATGGGGGTTGTAATGTCAGCCCATTCCTACCCAATGCAGAATTCTCTGATGGGCAACTCTTGCTTGAGAAGTTATCATAGGCCTGGTTGAATCATTCTTAAATGTTTCATGTGTTGCAGTCTGATACTTTCCTTACCCTGTAGTTTTTCCTCTTCTCTTTTTATATGTGTCTGAATTATATTGTGGTCTGAAGGTTCTCCCGACCTTCTCTGATTGCTCCACTTTTTCTTTCATAGATGTTTTCCTTCATCAATCTCTTGCATGTCTAAATCCCATTCAATATCTTCTTCTTGAGGTCCCAAACTAACACAATTCACTTATTTACTTACTGATTACGTGACGTTGTTGTTGGATAGATCATTTCTCTTTTGAATCTCATGAGAAACTGCTATTCTTTTACACAACCAAGATTCATCTACACAAAACCAATATTTACTGATTTTTTTTGTACTTTATTCCTTTTGCATCTCAGTTCTTCCACCTAAAATAATTTTTCTTCTGGAGGAATTTCCTTAGGATTCATTAGAATCCTCTAATTTTGGATTGAAATTATTAATATTTTTGAAAGTGAGTTTATGTGTATTAAACCCTATCTCTTTTGACTGCTTTTAGTATATCTACCGCTGTGCCTCACTAGGTGGCATTCTG
Organism: Homo sapiens; assembly: GCF_000001405.40. Classification (NCBI taxonomy): domain Eukaryota; kingdom Metazoa; phylum Chordata; class Mammalia; order Primates; family Hominidae; genus Homo; species Homo sapiens. Next base: position 76,413,921 of record NC_000013.11, read on the forward strand.
AGAATTTTTTTCTCATTTACCTTCTAGCTTATGAATTTCCTTTTTACTTATTTCAAATTGGCTGATATATTTAACCGTTATGTTTTTTAATATTTGCTTTATTTTTTAAATTTCTATTTTGAAGAAAGCCTCTATAATGTTTTGTTAGTATTTCTAAGCTTGTTTTTATTCTTTTAAGTTAGTGATAATTGTTTTATCATTTTTTGATATTTTATTTGTTTGAGACAGAGCCTTATTCTGTCACCCAGGCTGGAGTGCAGCGGCACAATCTTGGCTCACTGCAACCTCTGCCTCCTGGGTTCAAGAGATTCTCCTACTTCAGCCTCTGAAGTAGCTGGAATTATAGGCATGCCACCACACCCAGCTAATTTCTGTATTTTTAGTAGAGACAGGGTTTCACCATGTTGGCCATGCTGGTCTCGAACTCCTAGCCTCAAGTGATCTTCACAACTCAGCCTCCCAAAGTGCTTGGTTTACAGACATGAGCCACCGTTCCCAGCCTGATATTTAAATATTTGAAGTCCCATGGGTCTGTTTCTGTTTGTTGTTCCTGTTGATTTTCACACATGGTGATTTTCTTCCTTGTGAATTCACAGCTTGAGGATTTGGGGCAGTGGAGAGTAAACCAGGAGATGTAAATGTAGGCTGTATATCCATAGGAGGAATTCTGGTGATTACATCTTCTCAGTGATGACATCCCTTGCCTTGCATTCCAGTTGGCTCTGTTCAGTGTCAAACAATCTTTCATTCACTCCCAGGAGACTACCAATACCCAAGTTCAAGTTCACAAGTTTTGGTAACATGTCATCAGCACAAAACCAGTCTCAGAAGCCCACTCAGAACCCGTCTGTGTTCCCACTTTTATTTAGATTTTGGTTTGATAATTTCTTACTCTATTGTCAGTTCTGCAATACTTTAAAAAGTACCTTAAAAATATATTCTACAAAACATACATAGTTGTTTTCAGTGGAGTACTTTGTCTAAATAATCTAGCTCCTCATATAACTGGAATGTGAACTTCTAACACAGCTTATAAAAGTAATATAGGAATAGTTCATTTTAGAAAAATATTCATAAAAGTTTTTACAGATATTTTGCATTAATTTTCTAGATGCCTTAGAATGTTTGGCGTGGGCCACATTGAGATTATCAAACAAAAGAGATTTGTTATTTTTAGTTGATTTTCCAAACAAATTACCATTATGGGTACACAATTGATTATTTAGATATTGAAGATATAGTAATTCCTATACCATTGCTTGCATCAGACAGCGCCATATCTGAATAGAGTGGGGATTGTGTTTTTCACTGTAGTCAATATTCCTACTTTTTAGGCTAGCATAATTAATGAAAATATCTGTTATTTCACAAAAGACGCACTAACAAAATTTAAGCTCTGGGTCCATCATACAATATGCTCAGATGAGCACAACTTTAAACAAAATTTAAGATATTCATGTGGACCCTCTCATAACAATAATTACTAGATATGGCATGAGTGCATTAGTAGGTAACGGTTTACTATATCTACACCCTAGTGTGAAAGAGTTAAGTCAGTGTGAGTTGAGCAAACACATGCTTATTGGCTCAATCCTACTTATCAGACAGTAAATGAGGTAGCAATGAACCTTGACCTACCTAGGTATATTCATAATCATCATTTGCCATTTGATTGGGATTTATCCAGAAACTGAGTCTCAACAGAACAATCTCACTATCAATTTAGCAAGGAAAATAATCTAGCGAGATGAGTGAAAATAGCAGAGGTTGGCCGGGTGCGGTGGTTCACGCCTGTAATCCCAGCACCTTGGGAGGCCGAGGCAGGCAGATCACCTAAGATCAGGAGTTCCAGACCAGCCTGACCAACATGGAGAAACCCTGTTTCTACTAAAAATACAAAATTAGCCAGGCATGGTGGCCCATGCCTGTAATCTCAGCTACTTGGGAGTCTGAGGCAGGAGAATCACTTGAACCCGGGAGGTGGAGATTGCAGTGAGCCGAGATTGCGCCATTGCACTCCAGCCTGCGCAACAAGAGTGAAACTCTGTCTCAAAAAAAAAAAAAAAAAAAAAAAGAAAGAAAATAGCAGAAGCCATCATCCAGGAAGCACAAGACAGACTGTTTGATCTAGTTGTAAGCCAATTTCTTTTTGCTTTAAAATTCATTGTACATTGCCCTAGAGGGAAATAGGAAAATATATCTTCATCTTTATTTCCTAAGTTTATCTTGCTAGTTTTCTTTCCTTTCTTGCTCCAGATTTTGACCTCATAGACATTTTGGTTCTATTGTGATATTGGCCTCTACCTACACAGAGGTCCTTGTTCTTTCATTTATTTAACAATCTATGCATTCAAGAAATATTTATTGAGCAAATACTATGTGTACAGCACTATCTAGAAGCTAAGAATCCAGTGGTTGAGAAGACAGATGCAAACCTTATTGACAAGTTAATTTTCTAATGTGATAAAAGAGAAAATAAATATGTGGAGTAGTAAGTAAGTTCAGAGAGTGAAAAAGAAACGTTACAAATAAAATACAACAAAGCCTTGGTAGAGAGAGTCGTGGAGGTAGGGTGACAGAAAGAGGGTTTGTAAACTGAGCTACAGAAATCAGAAAGTCTACCTGAAGAGGTAATATCTGGGCTGAGACTGTGGTGATGTAAAGGAAATAACCATGTGAGGATTTACTTAGTTATTAAATGAAAATCACCGGGCCCAGGAACTGGTACGTGCTGTTTACCATCCTATCTCATCTTCTCTCTAACCCAATATCCTATGTCTTTCTGTCCTCTTAATTCTAAGGGTAAAATAATATCCAAAGAAGCAAAAGTAAGCAGAAACTGTGGAAAAGAAAAATAAATTCATGTAGACATGCAAATGCCAATAGAAATATTAAACTCTTGGCCAGGTGTGGTGACTCAAGTCTGTAATCCTAGCACTTCGGGAGGCCGAGGAGGGTGGATCACTGGAGGTCAGGAGTTCAAGATCAGCCTGGCCAACATAACAAAACCCCATCTCTACTAAAAATACAAAAACTAGCCAGGCGTGGTGGCAGGCACCTGTAATCCTAGCTACTCGGGGGACTGAGGCAGGAGAATCTCTTGAACCCGGCAGGCAGAGGTTGCAGTGAGCGGAGATCATGCCACTGCACTCCAGCCTGGGGGATAGAGCAAGACTCTGTCTCAAAAAAAAACAATATATATATATATGTATATATATATATATATATACATATATATATATTTTATAGAAGAACACAGATATAGAAAAGGAATCTAGTTAAAGTTTTGTGAAGAGATACAAGTGTTTTTGTTTTTCAAATTTCTGTGCAGGAGTAAAGGAAGTAGAATTGTTAACCTTGTAATCAGAAAGCTGAGGTGTACTTTTCGGCACATATGATACTATTAGACAGAGGATGATGACCAAGTGTTCTCTTTATCTACAAAGCTATTTATGTTTGCAATGGTGCATGAGAGATACACATGAGAGAAATGCTGTAACCAGAATCTGCCTAGATTTTTACAAACAAAAAATACTTCTATCTCTCCTTTAGACTTTTACCAGATTCATTTCCACCTAAAAACTTACAGCCATGAATTAGAATGAGTGAACCCTGGATCAGTGTCAAAAATCACAAAGTTTGCTGTGATTTTTCTGAGGCCACGCACAGAGACCTTCTAAGACAGCACAGCTATGAAATGATGCTTTCAGATTCATTACCAAAGGATTTACATTGCATTTAATAATGAGCTGAACAGAAACAACTTCCAATGTGGATTACACCAATTTTTATGTTGGTGGCTTTAGGCAAATTACTTAACCTCTCTGGACTTTTAACTTTGTCATCTGACTATGTGACGAATAACACTTATCTCAAGGGTTTTCTGAAGAAGAAATAACGAACTGTATATGAAGACGCCTGCTGCGTGGGGTATGCTACCATTAGATAGGATGTAAATTAAACTTCCAAGGACTGACATGATCATGAGAGATGACCGCACATTTTAATAAGCTCAAATACTTTCATTAAAACAGACAGAGCAACTGGGAAAATAAAGAAATGTCTTTATTTGGAAAACAGTCTCAACAAATTTAGATGAAAAAGTGCCACCCAGTCTCAGAGTACAAACTGGTGAGGACAAATACCCTGAGTGGGCATAACATCCATCAGAGGAAGAAGCAAAGGCTGGTTGTTTTTAAATCTCAATAGCTCAGGAATCCAGAAGGGGCCAATAAGTGCCCTGAAAGGAGGAACTAAAAGAAGTAGAACTCTCAGCAAGGAGATCAAAGAAGAAACTGAGAAAGAGGAAAGTATAGACGCTATGGACGCTTTGAAAGAATATTAATCAAAAACCAAAAAGCCCTGTGAGGCTTAATAATCTCACAGAAATGAGATTTATTAAACAACAGGAGATAGGAAGGAGAGGTGACAGCTCAGCAAATACTTAGAAGTGGGAGCAAAAAAGGAGGAGGAGAGGGGGAGAAGGAAGGGGAGGAAGGAGAGGGAGATAAGGAGGGGGAGGAGGAGAAACTGCACTCAGCAGTAAGTAGAGTATAAACACAAAACAAAACAAAAAACCTTAGAAACATTGCATTGTGTTTTCTTCGAGTGGGAAGCCTGGAGGAACGGAATGCAGGGCTGGCAGGGCACCTCCATATTATCAGAAATCTAGGCTCTGTTTATTTTTATCCTTCACTAGTCTCAGGGATTGTCATCCTGAAGGTCACTCAAAGTCACATAGCTACTGATGCTTCAGCCTCTGTATCTTTTTTCTGGCTAAATAGGGAGGAAGAAGTGGCAATGGGATCTACACTAACTGAACTGTTCTCATTTTTAAAAGTTATTCCTGAAGACCAAGCCAACTTCTATTTACATCTCATTGGTCAGATATTGGTCATTTAACCACCCTCTTTTCAAAGGCATCTGGGCATGTCATTCTCTAATTGGTCTCATTGCAATCATCTCCCAACAAATTTGAGTTCTATTAATAAAGAAGGAAAGAATGAATAGGCAGCCAGTAGTCTGCCTCAATTCTCAATACACATCAATACCCTTTTGAGATGAGAATTTCAGGTCAGTGCATGACTGAGCAGCAGGTGCCAAATCCAGAAAGAGACTTATGTTTTGGACTTGCTGGAAACAACAAGTGTATTCTAAAATTCCCAAGCTGGTAAAGTAACCCTTGGTAAGAAAATAAATGCACAATGGATTTGGACTTGAATGCTGAACTCAGTCAAGTTTGCTCCTAAGTCCCTGCCTATGTCCATTTTATCTCATTCTTAGCTTCCTCGGAGAAAAAAGGGTACAATCAATCCCAGATCCAATAGTTCAGATTCTTTACTCGCAAATTCACTTAACTCCCCAAACCAATACTTTCCGTGCTTTCATGATCACTTGTGGACACGCACAAGGCAGTGAGAAATTTGAATTGCCTCATATGGATGTTCCCAGCTGATGTCAAACAAGGCCTTTTGGTTTTAGCTCTCCTACTATCAACAAGTATTTTTTTCCTGGTCTATTTACTGCCACATTTTTCATATATATATATATATATATATATATATATATATATATATATATATATATATATATATATATATATTTTTGGAAGGCAGTGATTCCGCTTTTTAAAATGGCCCCCAAGCATGGTCCTGAGGCTATCTATTGCTCCTAGGCACAAGCAGGTTATGAGGTGCCTCATGGAGAAAGTCCATGGGTTAGAGAAGCTTCTTTCAGGCATGAGTTATATAGCTGTGGATTGTGAGTTCAATATGAATGAATCAACAATATATATTACATAAGATGTCCCTAAACAGAAACACACACAAACCAGGGTTATGTATTAATCAGTTGATGGAAATGAAACTCGCAGGACCCAATCTTGTATTTCCTCTAGAAGCAATGGTTCAGGGTTCACTAATTCAGTGTTTGCAGCCACTTTATAGAAAACAAATACTACAATTAGTAAGAGTAGATGCATATCCCTACCTGTCCGTGCTGCAACTTTGTAGGGCTAATGCTCAGAGAAACTTTCTTCAGCCAGTCAGTAGACTGGGCAGAAATGTATTATGGTAAAATACTATTCAATATCATATAAATGTAAGGAATTGGGGGAGACACAAAGATGACAAAAAATCCACCCCTTGTCCTTTAAGGGAATATGTATCCATGACACGGATACATTTATTATAATGTAGACTGTGATAAAAGCTAAACTCTGAATCCAGTAAACTTCTGCCTGCTTATCCAATTGGCAAAAGTAGGACTGGTACATTTCCTCCCATTTTTCTTTTAAAATTCAGATTAAAAATATTCCTTTAACCAAAATTGATATTTCTCCAAGGTTCCTATTACCAATATTTAGCCCTACAAGTAGCAACGGGGCTTACTATTTAGGAAACATAATGCAAGTGACATATTTTGGTTCTTGGAATATTTCCCTGAGTGTATTTCAACAAAAGTAAGACCTTTCCTTTGGTCAAGCTAAATTTTTATTCTGGTATTATGTCTTTGATTTGTTCAAAGTCTTCTTTTTTATTATACCAGTATAACATCTCTTACTCCTTCATAGTTTTCCTTTCACAGCAATTTAATTCTTATTTAGAATTTCCATTTATTCCTGCCTCTTGTTTTTTAAATTGTACTTTAAGTTCTGGGATACATGTACAGAATGTGCAAGTTTGTTACATAGGTATACACATGCCTTCAAACTATACTACGAGGCTACAGTAACCAAAACGGCATGGTACTTGTACCAAAACAGATATATAGACTAATGGAACAGAACAGAGGCCTCAGAAGTAACTCCTGCCTCTTCTTATCCTCCATCAATATATCTTCTCCAACACCAAGAGCTTGTATCCCCATGGCATATGAATCTAGTTATCCCAGTTATCCACTGATCACTTCAGATGTTGTTGCTCTTGGCAACTTAATCTTACTTAATTTTTTTGAGACAGAGTCTCTCTCTGTTGCCCAGGCTGGAATGCAGTGGCGTCATCTCAGCTCACTGCAACCTCCGCCTCCCAGATTCCAGATTCGAGTGATTCTCCTGCCTCAGCCTTCTGAGTAGCTGGGATTACAGGTGCCTGCCACCACACCTAGCTAGGTTTTTTGTTTTTTGTTTTGTTTTGTTTTGTCTTGTATTTTTTTAGTAGAGACAAGGTTTCATTGTGTTGGTCAGGCTGGTCTCAAGCTCCTGACCTCAGGTGATCTGCCTGCTTTGGCCTCCCAAAGTGCTGGGATTATAGGCATGAGCCACCGCACCCGGCCTTGGCAACTTAATGTTTTACCTAAACAAGGAAAATGTCATAAGAAGGCCATGACTATGTGTCATGGTGAAGCACCTTAAATAGGAAGTACAAATAACGACTGGAATGAATCCCAAATCATTTGCCATTCACTTTTTAGCTGAACAACTGAATTAAAATGTTTTCTCACTTTTCTTCAGTGTTATTAAGAATTTAAAAGAATCATCCTACTTTGTGGGTAATTTTCACATTACAAGTGAAAGAAAATCTCTGAAAAAAATCCAACAGTGCAGTGTTTCAAAGGTTAACTGGACCAAGATAAAACTTACATCCAATGAGTAAGCTTTTGTTTTCTGAGATATGTTCTTTTATATGTCTTCTAACCACATGAATGTCTAACTAGAGAGGGCATTTATCTGCCATTAACAGTGTCTTATATTTTACCTAAAACACAGTCACCACTAAATAAAAATGACATCAGTGCAATGAAGATGTATTGTGACTAAATTAGATGCCCTACTTTGCCTTAACTATTAGAGACATGACCATATGGCCTCTGATCAAATGTCTACATTGATAGAACAGAAGACTGCAGTTTCCCTCAGACTGTTTCTCATTGACACCTACACATATGAAAGAGTTCTCATAGCTTTCAGCAGAAACAGACAAAGGAGTCTAACACTGAGCTTTCCCATAGCTAACAGGCATCAGCATTGAAGGATCAGTGGACTGAACATCCTTCCAATAGAATCATAAGACTTAGATCTCTGATTTTTAAAGAATACAATAACATTTCAGTTATTAAGCACTATCTGAAACACATGTTTCTTCCACCTTTATCTCTTCTTCAGTGGTCAAGGTTCTAGCTGCTGTTGTCTCCTCTATGGGGCTAGTTCACAGAAATGAATTTCTCAAAATGGTATATTTAACCATATTTTTCTACAAAAGATAAAACCATACTATGTTTTTCACTATTTTCTTAAGCCGACATGGAGAATATCCTTAGGACTTCATGAATGTGATGACTGTGTGATATCGAAAGGCAAAAATGCACTAAATAATATATTTTATGTATCTGTTCCTCCTCTTCAGATTTGAGCCTGAGAGACTTAGTCTATACAGAGGAATTGCAGCACATTAAACAGAACTCACAGGAAATGTATCTTGATATTGAACACTCTGAATATCTACTATTTAGCCCAACTCTTTAAAAAACTTTTCTAAGCGCTCATACATGGAAAGCATGAGGCAAAGAAGGTAAGTTACAAAGAAGAACTAAACATAATCCTTGTTCTTAGAGAAAGTAAATATAAAGTACAATCAAATATGTACAAAGATGTGAAAAAGGGACAAAAAGAAAATATCAAAATAGGATTTAAAGAAAGAATTTTAGGAGGAGGTGTGGGTTTTAAGCCTTATCCCAGTTGTACCATATATGTTAATACTTTCAGGATGCACACCAGGTGGGTCCTGAATTGAGACTTCCCAATCCTTCCCTAGAGGTAAGTTTGACCACAGACCCCAGATAAAGCTGAATCTGCAAATGGAGACCATATGGCTCCCAATTCTGCTGTTGCGGCTCTCAGGGAAGAAAGGTAGAGAAAGACAGAAGAGATATCAACTAGGGAGTAAGTCAGCCATGTGTTTCTTCCATCTCTATTCCTTCTTCATTTGTCCAAGTTTCTAGTCACTATTGCCTCTTTACTGCTTCCTCTTCACTTTCTTTTCACGTTTTTTTGTTTTTTTTTTTCCTATTTTCTTCTGTTTCCCATCTGGCTAATGAGTCTTCTTTAATTTTCTTTCTTTTTTCTTGTAAGTCTGCCTTCACAATGAGAATTTTAATTTTTCCGAAACTTTGAAGGCCACAAAATAAGCTTCTTTCTTTTCATTATGTAATATCCAGCATAATCTTAAGTATATAGAGTTATTGGTTCATCTCCATTCATATCAAGATTTTTTTTTTTCTGCGAAACAGAAAATGTCTAGTTTTAACTCTCTGAATGTTTGTGTTTGCGAGGGGGCTGTCTAATGGAAAACTATATTTTTATTGACATTCCATTTTAAAACAAAAGAAGAGGCCGGGCGCGGTGGCTCACGTCTGTAATGCCTGCACTTTGGGAGGCCAAGGTGGGCGGATCATGAGGTCAGGAAATCGAGACCAGCCTGGCCAACATGGAGAAACCCCGTCTCTACTAAAGATACAAAAAATTAGCCAGGCGTGTTGGCAGGCACCTGTAATCCCAGCTATGTGGGAGGCTGAGGCAGGAGAATCACTTGAAACCGGAAGGCGGAGGTTGCAGTGAGCTGAGATCGCGCCATTGCACTTCAGCCTGGGCGACTGGGCAAGAATCCGTCTCAAAGAAAAAAAAAAAAAAAGAAAACCAAGAGAAGATAAAGAAAGGTATATTTTAAACTTGAGAGAAAAGTTACTACACACTTAAACCTTTGCATTTTTTTACCTATGAAAATATTCATTTTCCTGAAGATTAAAGCACACACGTCATTTTCAAATATTTTAATAATAAAGTAATGAAGAAAAATTCACTCATGATGCCATTATTTAAAATCTACTATATTTTTATTTCAATGTTTGTAATAGGTTTTCTGTGATAGCTATGCATTGTATTTTTTATATCATTGTGATAAAACTAACAACATTTTGTAGGTTCCCTTTTTAACAGTTTTATTTAGGTATAGTAAACATACAATAAACTGTATATGTTAGAAGTGTGCAATTTGAAATATCTTGACAGATAAATACATTGCCAAGCCATCACCACAATCAAATAATGAACATATGCATCACTCTCCAAAACTCCTCATACCTTTTGTTATCCTTCCTGCTGATTCTCCTACCCTCCACCTATCCCAAGGAAAAACTGGTTGCTTTCTATCACAATAGATTATCATAAATTTTCTAGAATTTTATATAAAAATTATGCACTATGTGTTATTTTGCTCAGAAATTCTACTAACTACACAGTATATTCTTACTTTGACTTTCATTCAAATTTCTCCAGTGGCTGAAGATATTGAGCATGTACTTTTTTGACATGGATGTGTCTTCTTGGGTGTAGTATCTGTGCAATTCTTTATCCATTTTGCATTGGGTTGCTTGCTTCTTTATTACTGAGTTTTGAAAGTTCTTTTTATATTCCGAAATCATACCAAACACACTCATAGACCACAGAGCAATAAATATAGAAGTCCAGACTAAAAAAATTGCTCAAAACCATGCAGCTACATGGAAATTAAGCAACCTGCTCCTGTTGGTTTTTTAAAAATACATTAAAGTTATTATTTCTTTCTCTCTCTCTCTCTCAAGTTGTTACAAATAGAAATCTGCTGTCACCATATTTTCCCACTGTATCTAATTTTTATTTTCTCTGTTTTTAAGATTTTTCTCCTTATCATTGGCATTAATAATTTTGATAATGATGTACCTTTGTGTATTTTTTTAACCTTTCTTGTGCTTGAGGCTCATAGAGCTTCTTCAATCTATGCATTTACAGCTTTCATTGAATTTGGAAAATATTCAGTCTTTATTTAAATACATCCACCCAAACATCTTTTCCTTTATAACTCCAATTTTATATATACTTAACTGCTTGAATTTATTCCACACTTCATATTTTTCATGTGTTTTCATATTAAACATACTATTCATATTTCTCAGTATTTTTCTCTCTGTGTTTAATTTTGGTGAGTTTCTATGTTTTTAAGCTCAATAATGTTTTCTTCTGTAATATCTAATCTGCCATTCATCCTAGCCAGTGTATTTTTCATGTCAGACATCATAGCTCTCATTTCTAGAAGTTGAATTTGGGTTGTTTTAAAATACAGACAGTCCCTGACTTAGAATAGCTGGACTTACCATTCTTTTGACTTTACAATGGTTTACCACAACTTAATTTCATTAAGTTAGGAGCCTCTGGACTTACAATGACTTGACATGTGATTTCTCGACTTTGTGATAGGTTTATTGGGACATAACCCTATCATAAATTGAGGAGCATCTGAGTTTACAGTGGTTCGACTTAACAATTTTTTGACTTTATGATGGGTTTATTAGGATATTTAAGTACTTTTTTTTTTTTTTTTTTTTTGAGACAGAGTCTCACTCTGTCGCCCAGGCTGGAGTGCAGTGGCGCGATCTCTACTCACTGCAAACTCCGCCCCCCCGGGTTCATGCCATTCTCCTGCCTCAGCCTCCAAAATAGCTGGGACTACGGGCGCCCACCACCACGCCTGGCTAATTTTTTTGTATTTTTAGCAGAGACGGGGTTTCACAGTGTTAGCCAGGATGGTCTGGATCTCCTGACCTCGTGATCCGCCCGCCTCGGCCTCCCCAAGTGCTGGGATTACAGGCGTGAGGCACCGCACCCGGCCTTAAGTACATTTTTTGACATGTTTTTAACTTATTCTGAGTTTGTTGGGGACATAATTCCATTGTAATTTGAGGAGCATCTGTATATTATTATCTTCCATGTTTCTGTGTATCAAGTGCAATCTTTGTTCTAGCTTCTTGAACATTTGGAATATAGTCATAAGTATCTTAATATCCTTGTTTACTAATTCTAGTATTTGTATCATTTCTGGGTCAGTGTCAGTTGATTGATTTTTTCACTAACAGTTGCATTTTCTTTTTATTTGGATGCCTGGTAATGTCTGATTAGATGCCAGACATTGTGATTCACTCTTATTGTGGGTGTTTTGTTTTCTTTCTTTTTTTAAATATTTCTATCAATATTTGTGAGATTTGTTCTGGGATATCTTCAAGTTACTTGAACACAATTTGATCCTTTTAAGCTGTGTTATGTAGGCCGGTACTGCATTCAGTCTAGTATTTATTTTTTCCCACTACTAAGGCAAGATATTTCTTAGTATGCTAACTATGAGCCATGAATTACACATTTCTCAAGTCTTGCTAGGAACGGATGCTGATCTTGGTCCTGCCAAGTCTGAGTATGACTCTCTCTAATCCTTTCAGATGGTTCTTTCCTCCAGCTGTTAGTAGTTTCCTCACATGCATGAGCTAATCAGCACTCAACTGAATACTGAAGGGGGACCATCTGTAAGCCTCCAAAGCTGACTCTGTGCTGCTTTCACCTTTATGGTGCTCTGTCCAATGAATGCCATCTGCCTTGGCTTCTGGAAATTCCCAGCTTGGTTTCCTCAACTCAAAGAAACCTCCAGATTCTGCCTGGATTTCTCCTCCATAAGCCACAGCCTGAAAACTTTCTTCAGGAAGTAAATTGGATAAATCATAGGGCTTATCTAATTTGCTTCCTATCTCTCAAGGATCATTGTTTTTGATTGATCCCATATCTTGATTGTCACCGTGTCATATACTTTCCTTAGCTGATGTCTTAGTTGTTTCAGGCAGGAAGTAAATTCAGTCCTTGTTACTCCATATTAATCAAAAGCAGAAGTCTCACTGTCATTTTTTTAACTTAATATTGTAGAATAAGCTTTTGCCTGTGTCATTAAAAATTACTCAAAATATATTTTAAATGGATTTGTATTTTACTGTGTAGATACAATATAATTTTTAATTTTGCTATTATAGCTAATGCTTCCATTGACATTTTTACTGTATCTTTATTAGCATGCAATTATTTATCTAGAATATATTCCCAGAAATGAAATAACAGTCAAAAGAATTAAACATTGTATTAGTTTGCTAGATCTTAACAAAATACCACAAACTGGCTAGCTTAAATGACAGAAATATATTGTCTAACAGTTCTGAAGGCTAGAAGTCTAAAAGCAAGGTGTCAGCAGGTTTAGTACTTTACTAAGGCTATGAAGGAAAATCTATTCTATGTCTCTCTTCTAACTTCTGGTAGTTTGTATCAATCATTGGCATTCCTTGGTTTATCTCTGTCTTCATCTTTACATATGTGTGTGTCTGTGTCCAAATTTTCCCTTTTTCAAAGACATCAGTCATAATGTATTAGGAGTCCAGAATGACCTCATCTTAGCCTAACTAATTGTAGCTGCAATGACCTTATTTTCAAATAAGTTCACATTTTGAGATAGTGGGGATTAGGACTTCAACATATGAATTTTAGTAGAGCACAATTCAACTTACAACAGACATATTTAAATTATTTTTTATATAATTCTCTATTGATCCTAGGAGGGTTGGTATATTCTGTTGGTCCAAACATAACTTAACCTTCAATTTAGAAACTGCAGAATTTTCTGGTGAGAATAGCACTGAAGACTGATTTGCATACAGATTTGTAAAAGAATGTGAATGGAAGTGTTAATCCTGGCACTACAGGTAGAAAAATAAGAGATAAGAATGACAAAATGGTACATTTCTCAGAAATGGTATTCCCACCTCCTTGGATATGGTATTGCTTCAGCCCCCCACAATAACTGTCAGTGTATTTGTACCAATATCATCCTACTACTAAAGCTGAGGAAAATTATGTTGCCAAGGTAACAAAAAATTATTTTTGTTACCTTGTCATTTATTCAACAATTTTTAACAATTATTCTGTGCCCAGCACTGTGCTAGGCATTAAATATAGAATGGCTCAAAAAAAAAAAAAAGGCGGCATGGATTGTCCTGAAACTTAACATCTAGTCAAGTGACAAGCATTAGCAAAAAATAAATATGCTACTAATTTTTACTAAAAATAACAGTGGTCTATATGAAAACAACAGAAACAACTTAATTCAGATTAACTCAAAAAGTGACTTTCAGCTAACGCCTGAAGAATGAGTGGTCATTTGCCAAGATCATGTGGAAGGAAGGATATTTCAGTTAGAGGAAAGAAAGTGATGAAGACGTTAATGCAAGGAAGAGCTTGACACCTTAGAGTAATTAAATGACAACGTCTCTGGGATGTAATGGTCAAGAGTGATGAGACAGTGTTAGAGAGGAAGGCCAGGGTATGATAATATAGGACATTTTCAGGCCACATTTATAAACTGGGATTTTATTCTAAATACAATGAGTAATATAAGAGGGTATGAAATATGGTAATGAGATGCATAAGGACATTTCAGTCAACAATGGATTGCATATAGACAGTGGTGCCATAAGATTATAATAAAGCTGAAAAATTTCTACTGCCTAGTGATCTTATAGCCATCATAATGTCATAGTGCAATGGATTAACTCTTCTATGTTTAGATACACCAATTCTTACCAGTGTGTTACAATTGCCCACAGTATTCAGTATAGTAACGTGCTGTACAGGTTTGTAGTCTAGGATCAATAGGCTATACCATATAGCCTAGATGTGTAGTGGGGCTAGACCATCTAGGTTTGTGTAAGTACACTCTATAAGATACACAAAAGGATAAAATCGCCTGATGATGCATTTCTCAGAAGGTATCCCCATTGTCAAGCAATGCATGGCTCTACATTAAATAAGTGTGGGGCATGGTAGCTTGATTGTTGTAAGAGGAATGGGTGGAAAAAAAAAAGACAGGGAAGTCAAGATGAGAATTTAACTTAGAATAAAGTGGTAACAGTTGTAGTGGAACAACATATGTAGATTCCAGATATATTTTTGAGGAAGCAGTGGCAGGACTCATTTTTAATTTTAACGTGGCAAGTATAGAGAGGCAAAGGGAGATCTCAAAGATCCCTTCCACTTCTCTGACTCAGGTAACTCAAGTAACTCTGACTCAAGTTTAATGAATTCTTACAACAGAAAGACCAGACAGAGTAAGGTTAGGTTTGGCTCAAAGACTGAGAGTTAGTTTTGGATATGTTAAGGAACTTAAGTTGCCTTTTTGATATTCATCAGATGTCAATGAGAAGTTGACTATAAAAAGAGTCTAGCTATTGCAAGAGTGGTCATAGTTGGGAGTATAAATTTGAGAGCTATTGCCTTCTAAATGGTATTACACATCAGGCAAATAGGTGCAATCATCTAGTGAGAAAGGTTAGAATGAAAACTGAGGACAGTCTGAAGCCAGACTACAGAATTCCAATTCCAACATTTAGAAATAGCTTAGAGTAGGAAGCAACTGTTGTGGAACTGGGGAGGAGAGCAGGTCAGAGGCAAGAAAACAACACTTGACTAGAAAGTGTGGTGTCTAGACCACGCAGAAAAAGGACAAGTTTGCTAAGCTAACAACTAAAAGACATTGCTTTTGGCTAGACTTCTGAGATTTTAGCAAAAGGTGTTTCTTGGGAAAAGTAAGGGGCAAATCCCAACTGGTTTGAGTTAAAGAGGGAGAGGCAGGTAAGAAAGTAGAAACACTGTAGCAGTATAGCAGGTGATGAGAATTTTGGCTACACAGAGGAAGGGAAAAAGTGAGTAGGGCTAGAATGACATGTGAACAAATAAAGTTTTGTGTTTTTGTCTTTTTAAAAAGGTATGAATTATTAGAGCGAATTGGTAAGCTATACAGGAAGATCCTATGGATGGGACAGAACAAGTACACAGGTGGAGAAGGGATACCTAAAGAACAAAAGTCAGAAAAGTATTGGTATTTGAGAAGATAAGAGATCTCCATTGACTGCAAAGAAGAATAGCCTAAGATGGTCCAGATTGAAGGAGACTTAGTAAAAAGAAGATGACGTTAATATGGGAAAGAATGAGGGCCAAATATTTTATAATTATTTTTAGCAAATTTGATACATTCTTACTAATTATAAAATATTTTAAAAATAAACTACATGTATATGTTTATGTAAATTTATACATGTAAATTTATATTACATTTTTATTAAAAAATAAGCAACAAATATGGTTAAGTATACACCCCACTGGGCAATGCAGATTTCCCCGCTTACACTTTGTCTTATAAAGCAATTGATAGCTTTTCTTGTATTATGAGACCTAAATGACATTCTTGACTTATATTTTAAGGATAGAAATAAATGCCAAACTTGTATAAATGTCTGAGAGTGCATTTCATGAAATATACTGCTAGAAACCATCAGAAGTTGAAGGGCTTATAGCTCTAATATAAAGCCAGCTTTATTCTGTCTGGAGAAATCTGGTAATACATGCAGTAAAACATAACAGCCCAATAAAGAATGTTGTTTTCAATTGTTTTCTTCTCCACAATCTTACATTTGCTGGAGATTTTAGTTTAGTCTCCTCTGTTTCGTAAAATACATCTGCAAGAAGCTGTTACATAATGTTTGCTTATTATAACAAATCTGAAAAAAAGTATTTTCTTCCTACATTGTTTACTTTAGTGATTTATTCTCTTCCTCTCATCCTTCAATTGTGACTTAAAACTCTAAAATCCAGTTTTAGTTCCACTGAGAACCAAATGACTCATTATTAGGTGTTGTGGTCAGAGATCTTTGTCTCTTTCTTTTCTTCCTTCCCTTTCTCCTTTCTTTGCTTCTTTTCTTTGCTTCTTTTTTTCCTTCATTTCTCTTTTGACCTGCCTGCCAACCTGCCTGAAGATTTGAAGTTGAAAAGAAGTGAGCCATAAATATTCTTCCAAGGCCACTTTTAGTTCTCTGACTCAACATTGTTGTAAAATGATCAATATTCTCATCAATAAGTTAATAAGTTTGGAACCAAGAAAAAGAGAAAACCTGTCAGCAATTGCGTATATAATCCAATTAGCCAAGGCAGCCCCTTACCTACCACTGGGGTTTAGTGGCTGGCATTTGTTCAGAATGCCCACAAACTGTCCTTATTTTAGAGTTGTACGTGGAAAGCTGCCCAGAATAGAAATCCTAATTATAGGTCCAATGGCAGTGGCAATATCAGGAAATATCAGGACAGTTTTTCGAACAGGAAACTAATGAGGCTTATTCTATGTTTACTTATTTGGAACTTTTGGAAAAATTTAAACAATAAGTAACCTTTGAGTTGTAGAAAAGAAAACTAGTACTTTTTCTAACACATATAATCAAAATTTAATCAGTACCAAATGGAATTTCATAAAGCTACCTAATCTCTTCTATTTTAAATACATTTATTAAACTATACCATCCTATGAGAATGACAGTTATGTTCTTAAATTGTGTTACCAGTAGGCTTAAGCATCTTCATAAGTGGTCATCATGTGATCTCCTTTCCTTTGCTACTCCAGAGACTCACAGGGTATTTACCTTCTTATATTTAGCCGAGTATTGCACGTGACAACTTATGTTGACTTTTTTCTTGCTTTGACTTTAATGATTTTCTTCCTTGAAAGTTGTGGCCCATTTTGCAGAATCTCATCAGAACAAGTTTAAAGCCAAACCAAATTAGAATAGTCAACATATTTCTAGAGCAGTGCAGAATAAATTTTCATAATGCTTTTCTCAGCTTTAATACGAAATGTACCTTAATTGAATTTTCAATAACTGTCAATATTGTCCAGGAAGAAATTATTCCAACCTGATATGTATTTTATGATTTCCCTGAAATGAAGTAATTGTGGACTTTAATATTCTTGTCAATGGACAGCTTGGCATCAGGATTAACTATTGGGATAAATCACATTTTTGCAGCGATCTCAGTTTCAGGAAAGAAAGGATTCTTAAGTTAGACTTTAAAAAATGAGGATATGGAGAAATAGGAACGCTTTTACACTGTTGGTGGGAGTGTAAATTAGTTCAACCATTGTGGAAGACAGTGTGGCGATTCCTCAAGGATCTAGAACTAGAAATACCATTTGACCCAGCAATCCCATTACTGGGTATATACCCAAACGATTATAAATCATTCTGCTATAAAGACACATGCATACATATGTTTATTGCAGCAGTGTTCACAATAGCAAAGACTTGGAACCAACCCAAATGCCCATCAGTGATAGACTGGTTAAAGAAAATGTGGCACATACACACCATGGAATACTATGCAGCCATAGAAAGGATGAGTTCATGTCCTTTGCAGGGACATAGATGAAGCTGGAAACCATCATTCTCAGCAAACTAACACAAGAACAGAAAACCAAACACTGCATGTTCTCACTCATAAGTGGGAGCTGAATAATGAGAACACATGGACACAGGGAGGGGAACATCACACACTAGGGCCTGTCAGGGGGCTATGGGAGGAGCCCTAATGTAGGAGACGGGTTGATGTAGATGACGGGTTGATGGGTGCAGCAAACCACCATGGCACGTGTATATCTATGTAACGAACCTGCACGTTCTGCACATGTACCACAGAACTTAAAGTATAATTAAAAAAAAATAAATTAAAAAAAATGAGAAACATTCAGAAAGCAGTTCTGAATGCCATCCTCATCGAGGGAACCATAATGATGTAGGCTCATTGTGGATCTCTCTTAAAATCCATTTTCTTTTGCCCCATCTCTAAATTATTATCTCCTTGTTTTTCTGTTTCTGATATAGTTCCCATGTACTCAATGTCAGCCTGCCTGATTTCTCACTTTTATTTATCATGGTCCCTAAAATCAAGGATATAATTTGGAAGGCTGTCACAGTAGGTTTCAAGATTTTGTAATTTGACAATGGCACATTGCTGTGTAATGGTATTTGTGAGATAATGCAAGTATTTTCTACCAATAGCAACTCATGTCATAATTTTAGAAAAATAAGAAAAAGACAAAAAAAAACAGGATAGTTAGTGAAAGAAGGTAGTTATAAATATCAACTATAACCATGTAATCAGTTACATAAATGAGGACTGTTAGTATTTCCCCCTTATTTTGTTAAGAAATGTTTGTGTGTGTATAATAAATACCTTTTTCTCCCTCTCTTATTCCTTTATTATGTATTATATAATGTATTGATTTATTAACATAATATTTAAGTATTGTTCAATTTACATCATAGTATTTTTTAAGTTACAGGATGTCAAGGAGAAGAGTAAACATCAAGAACTTTACCTCCTTTTCTGGGGATTGGGTAATGCATATTCAGTTGTATGTGGGATAGTTGTATTATGTAAAGTGGAGTTATGACCTTGTTATTGTGTTTATTTGGAGATTAAATATGATTTAAAGAGATGTGAATGAAAAAAAAAGAAAAAGAAAAGAACAAAGGAGATATAAAACCTTCAAAAATGTTTCCATGAATAAGTGAAAACTTAGCTGCATTAAACATTTTACCAAACATTTTCACATACTTTATCTCAAATGTCATCTTTCTGGCAATCTGGAATTTTTACCAATAGAGATAAATAGTGCTAAATAGAATGTGTGAGCAAGGGAGAAAATAATTTGTATAGTATAGTAGTTACATATAATATAATTGCCTACACACACACACACACACGCACACACACACACACACACACACACAGGACCTATATGCCGTGTATACATATGTAGGTATGTAAAATAACCTGAACAATTATTGTTATAACTTCCCACAAATAAATCACTCCTTTTTCTTAACTTAAACACAAAGAAAAAAAATTTCCTTCTAACTTTAAGTAGAAACTATTTTACGTACAACTTCCCAGGAGAGTCTTAGAAATGACAAGCCAAATCTAAGCCCACAGCATATGATATGATTGTCAACAATCTGACTTTTGACTATTCATGTCATATTGTAAATGAAATGGCTCCTTGACTAACTCTCTGAGATGGCAACCAGCTGTGCAATGGTTGGTTACTCATTGCATTTTAATTAGTACTTGCTCTCCATAAGAGAGGATTAAAATTGTTACAAATGTTTGCTAATAAACTAAAGAGATTGACAATATTTTATTCTTGGAAGCATTTTTGACACAGTGTGTTGACATCAGAGAAAAAAAGCAAAAGTCTCTTATGACAATGCCCTTAGGCTTATTAGTATAATCTATTAAACTTCAATTAGCAATTTTAACTTGGTCTGTATTAGCACTAAAAAGATACTCTGAGTTTAAGTTACGAGATTATTTTATTTCCAACATGTTTTGATGTTCACATCGTAAACATTTCTGATGCACATTGTAACAGAAAACACTCAAATTGCTTAAACCGTTTCACTGAGGAAGTAAAATTAGATTCTTGAGCAAAGGGAGGAACTAAATTGAAATTTTAAAATTCTAAGATATATATTAAAGGCAATGATAAATTATACTGTAGTTTTTGCCTTTCAGAAACTGAGGAGCAGCCAAGATCTATTTTTACTTCATTTATCAGGACTATCACATAGCAACTTGATAGTTGCAAACAATTAGCCATTAGATCCTTTTGAAAGATCTTTTGCCTCTCTTATCTTTCAATATTTAAAATGATTTAAGAATACTATTTTTAAAGAAAATTGAGAGTAAAAGGAACTGAATTAAAATTCAGGAAATATGACTATACCTACCAGACTCTCTCTTACTTTGCTGTGGATCATATGGGAAAGCCTTTCTATTTGCGTTGAGATGTGATTCCTCCATGAAAAGCCAGATACACCCTGTCTTTGTTTGGAGAAATAATTTAGGTTCTTAGCCCTGGAATGAATAAGGCCTCTCCTGTGTGGAAATAGCATTAAAATTGAATTGTCCATGTATTATGTTTATGTTTTTGTTTATTCTGATTTTTCATATGGAAGTGTTTTTATACTTACTTTACTATCGGGCTTCTTTACAAACCTTAATTTGAAATGGTCCTAAAGTTTTCCTCCTATTTTTTATGTTATCTATGCGACATAAAACGTGAATGTGTACATGTGAATGGCTTAAGGCTATATTAGCTGGAATAAAACTTGGCACTTTGCTTATTTTTGTCTTGCTTTATTGAATCATAGAAAGTTTGGGCCCAAGGGATATTAACAATAGTCCACTTTTTTATATTGCAAATGAGCAAAGACATTTAGAAGGTTTGATTGGCTTATCCAAGGAGATGCATGAAGATGGTGAACAGCTAACACATAACTGACAAAATATTCTAATGGGTTTCCACTATTCTACAGTATAATTGTACTGAAGATTTTTGTTGTTGTTGTTTGTTTTTTGTTTGTTTGTTTGTTTTGCTTTTAGAAGTCACTCTTGGCTCCAACATTATCCAGTCAAATTATTTTACTGAAGCTTTCAAACCTGGTTAAAGTTCTGATACGTGAATATTTTGTCACATCTTTTTGCAAAGTTTAGTTTCATGATAAGATAATGGCCACCTGAAGTCAGACCAAAGGCAGCTGAAACAATATCTCTCATTATCATTCTTGGGATGTTTCCTCATAAAGCTACTGGTTTGGATAAGAGTCTATAAATGACTAAATTACAAGGTCACAACTTTGAAGAGTAAGACATTTACTTAGATCACGGTCAGCTCCTGTCACAAAGAAATAAAACCGAAACCTACAGATATACAAAGGGTAGATTTTGATCTAAGGCAAACTTTATATTGCCATCGATGGATTAGAGGTTCAATTACATAGATTTTAGTAAATTGGTTCAACGCCATGCATTATCATGCAACAGGGATGACCAAGTACTAGCAAAATATAGAGTATACAGAGAAACACTAGAAAATGAAATATATGTCATTCTGGGTGAATTTTTAAAAGCAATTAAAAAAATCTAATCATCACCTAAAAATTGAAAAGAATAAGCTTATGCTCATTGATAACTGATTGTGTTTAATGACTTTCACATGCAATAACAGTCTATCTTCCTATTTCTCTGTTCATAAAAAGTTATATTCATGGAAACAGTGCAATTATACCATTCATCTCTCATGAAGAGATTTAGTCATTTAATTTCCATTTAATACTTTACATGTTAGATTACAACTAAAAATACTTACATCTACTTGTTAAATAAGCATAAACAAAATATTCTCTGCTTTGCTTCTGACTTGCATTTGAAAATATAATTGTCGTCTCTTTTTCAAGGATGAGTGATCAAATAATTCATACGAATTACTGTGCCTCCTCCCATTTTTATATTCATCCTTAAAATCATTAAAATTTTAATAATTAATAGTGATTTATTTTTGCTTGATATATAAGGTAATGACATGTAACTGGAATTCCATTAAGGCATTCATATAAATTTTTAAAATCTCTTTTAAATGGCTTTTGTCAATTTAAACATTAAGCTAATTTTATACCATTTAATATTTATTATTTCTAATTTAAGACCGAACGTACTTCCAAAAATTATAAAACACACACCTCACAATAGAAGACATAGGTGAAAAAACTATTAAAATATTTTTAAAGTATACAATGTAAGAGGTAGAAGTAAAATACTAAGCCCAAAGTCAGAAAAAAGAATGTTCAAAAAGCTATTATAATTGAATATGGTCACGTGCCACATAATAAGATTTAGGTCAACGACAAACACATATATGACAGTGGTCCCATTAGATTATAATGGAGATGAAAAATTCCTATTGCCTAGTGACTTTGTAGCCATGATAATGTCAAAGCATAACACATTACTGACCTGTTTGTCATGATGCTGTTGTTAAACCTATTGCACAGCCAGCTGTATAAAAGTGTATCATATACAATACATAAGGAGTAGGGCCTCCATATCTGTGAGTTCTGCATCCACAGATTCAACCAATGGTGGATCAAAAATATTTTTAAAAAATTACATCTGTACTGAACATGTATAGATTGGTTTCTTGTCATTCTTCCTTAAACAATACAGTTACAACAACTATTTACATAGTATTAGATATTACTGTCCGCATTAGTCCATTCTTGCATTGCTATAAACACCTGAGACTAAGTAATTTGTAAAGAACAGGAGTTAAATTGGCTCACAGTTTTGTAGGCTGTACAGGAAGCATCTGCTAGCATCTGCCCAGCTTCTAGGGAAGTGTCAGGAAACTTGCAATCATGGCTGAAGGCGAAGTGGAAGCAGGCATATCACCTGGTGAAAGCAGGAGTGAGAGAGAGAGAGGGGAAGCATCAAACATTTTTCAATGACCAGATCTCATGCAAACTCACTCACTGTCATGAGGACAGTACCAACAAGATGGTACTAAACCGTTAATGAGAAATCCACCCCATAATCCAATCACCTCCCACCAGGTGCCACCTCCAACTCTGGGGATTACAACTAACATGAGATTTGGGTGGGGAGACAGTTCAATATTACTGTATTTGCATCGTACTAGGGGTTATAAGTAATCTAGTAATGAATTAAAGTGTATAGGAGGATGTGCATAGGCCATGGGCAAATACTATGACATTTTATATTAGGGACTTGAACATTCACGGATTTTCGTATCTTAGGGAGGTTCTAGAACCAATTCTCCCATGGATAATGAAAAATAGCAGTCACTGATAATGATAATAAATGACTATGTTACAGGTTGATATACTTACTATACTTTTATTGTTCTTTTACAGTGTACCCCTTCTAGTTATAAAATTAAAAAGTTAACTGTCAGACAGCTTCAGGTCCCTCAGGAGGTATTCCAGAAGAAGGCATTGTTTTCATAGGAGATGACAGCTCCATGCGTGTTACTTCGCTCCATGCGAAGGCCTATGAAGACCTTCCAGTGGGGCATGATGTGGAGCTAGAAGACAGTGATATTGATGACCCTGACCCTGTGTAGGCCTAGACTACTGTGTTTGTGTCTTACTTTTTACAAAAAAAAAAAAAAAAAAAAAAAAGTTTTAAAAGTTAAAAAAATTTTAAAAATTGGCCGGGCGCAGTGGCTCATGCCTGTAATCCCAGCACTTTGGGAGGCCGAGGTGGGAGGATCACGGGGTCAGGAGATCAAGACCATCCTGGGTAACATGGTGAAACCCCGTCTCTACTAAAAAAAAATATACAAAAATTAGCTGGGCGTGGTGGCGGGCGCCTGTAGTCCCAGCTACTCGGGAGGCTGAGGCAGGAGAATGACGTGAACCCGGGAGGCAGAGCTTGCAGTGAGGCGAGATCACGCCACCGCACTCCAGCCTGGGAGACAGAACGAGACTACATCTCTTTAAATAAATAAATAAATAAATAAATAAATAAATAAAATAAAATAAATAGAAAAAGGCCTCATGGAATAAGAATATAAAGAAAATATTTTTGCATAGCTATACAATGTGTTTGTATTTTTAAGATAAATGTTATTACAAAATGTCAAAGTTAAAAACTTTAAAGTTTATAAAGTAAAAACATTACGGTAAGACAAATTTATTATTGAAGAAAGAGAAAATATTTTGTATACATTTAGTGTAGCCAATGTGTACAGTGTTTACAAAGTCTACAGTAATATCCTAGGCCTTTACTTGACTCACCACTCACTCACTGACTCACCCAGGGCAACTTCTAATCCTGCAAGCTCCATTCACAGTAAGTGCCCTATGTAAGCGTATACATCTTTTACATTTCATATTGTATTTTTACTGTACCTTGTTTATGTCTAGATACACACATACCATTGTGCTACAATTGCCCACAATATTCAGTAC